>NC_000003.12:85161515-85464545 GCF_000001405.40 Homo sapiens | reverse complement strand
CCTTAAAGTTAAGTACAATAGACAGGTCACATTTTTGAAATGTCAACTTTGATGTGCCTTTACTTCTATATTACAAATCATGTCATATTCAGGAAGTTTAAACGTTGAAGGATCTTTTGAGTCCTGTCCCTGATCTTCAAGAAACCTGAATTTCCAGAGACAGATGGAATTTCTTTTCTTTTTGTACTTTTCATTAAATGTCTCTAAGCAAAGAGTTCAAGATGGTGGCAGGGAAAACAAAGTTTTAGATTGATGTGATCACATTTGGATCACAAGAGAAAAGGAAATATCAGTTTTAAAAATAAATATATAATCATATTTCGAGTCCATCTATATTTTATACACATGTGGAAAGAAAAAAATTTTGCATGTCATGGTCATTTATAAATATATAAAGCTTAAGTAACTAGGTCTCATTATTCACCAAAATTATTTTCAGAGCTTCAAATCTAAAATATGTTTATTATTAGGGGAAAGTGAACTCTTCTGCTTCATTGCTCATACTGCATCATGGAGAGAATTACATATTGATCACTTAAAAAACAGAAAAGCAATATATGATCTTTCGAATTTAGAGTAAGATTTAAATTTGGGTCGAATATCATACCCCAATAACCTTGGATCTATGAACATATTATAGTTAAAACTTTGAGAGAACAGTAGGCATAAAACGTATTGCAATTGTGAAACTTGCTATGTCCTTTGTCAGAATTGTAAATACATGGTCTAGTAGCATAGAGCCTTGAGAGAAAAACAGAAAATGAGCGAAACAATATTGAACTGTTGGTTTTTAAAATCTTCTAATGAGATAACCAGTAAAATTATTTTCCACACCATTTTTAAAGCAAATTGTTTACATATCTCAGTCAAAGAACATATCTATGCATTCAGCCTTCAGGGTTGAACATGGGAATGTAAAGATTTTTTTCACTCATATGTACACATTTATTAATATACATTTTGAATATATATAAATAGTTACAATCCCTTTTATTTAAAAATATAGGACACTAAGATAATATGAATTCACTGAGGCTGAAAGCAAAGAAACTCTGAGTTTATTCTCAACAGACTCTGAGGAAGTAGGCAATTCCTGATCAAGAATCACCAAAATACTTAAATGCATTCCTTGAAAGGCACAGATTTTTCCAAAACAATCAAACCTGCCCAAGCCAGATAAAGTTACAGTTCCTCTCAGCTTGCAATGAGAACATATGAGAAGAGCCCCTTAGAGAGAATATGTCATTCAAAATCAGTTAGAATAATGGGGAAATGTTTCAGCATTTCACAACCACTAGAACTTGCTTTACATTCACAAGGCCTATGAAACGAGGGTAACTCTGGAGACCTCAGCAAAGTCAAAAGGTACCGGAACAAAAAGTCTCTAATATCCAGTTCTGCTGCAAATAAATCAGTATTTGAAAATACAAAATCATAAGAGTTAAACTTGCTATGTATAAGAATCTAAGCGGTCATATGGCTTAAATAATTTAATGCTCCAAACAGCCCTATGATGTGGGTACTATAGTGTAGTATAGTTTCCTTTCACAGATGAGGAAACGAAGGCATGAAAAATGGTTTTCCAGGTCACAGGAGAGAATCCAAACAGTGCCTCCAAACACAAATATCCACTGAACTACAACTACTAGGTTAACACTGAGACCTTTTTTCAGTAATGTGGTCTATTGGTACATTACTTTCAAAATACAAAGTAGTTATGCAATATGATGTTAATCAATGGGAGTGTGCAATATATACCAAAGACAGTAAAGTTCAGTGTTAATGCTTTTTGAATCTTTTATTTTTCTATAATTGTAAATAGTATTTTAGGCTAGGGTTAACTGGGAATTTTTCAATATAAAAGTTCACTAATGGAATCTTTTTGACATAATATTATTTGAAGGTACTGAGATATGATGCTAGTGTTTTTGTGTCTTTGGAGTCCAAGTGTTGGAATGATTTAGAATAAAACGAACCCAGATTAATGTTTGGAGAGTGATGAGTTACTCTGTTGAAGTCAGCATGCAATAATAGCTAACACAAATTCCCAATAAAGGCCACCATGGAATGAATCAAGCTTTGTAGATGGTTTCCAACCAAGTAAACTTTCAATAACATTTGTGGGTGACTTAGGCTACTTTTTCATAATGTACCTCAAGAAATACCGCTTAATGGAATTGTCATAGTCTTGGTGTGCAGTTAGAAATTTGGTTTTGTTAGATCACTACAGCTGTTCTATTCCTGGGGGATAAAGTCATTAGAGTTAAATTCACATGAGGCTAATTCATAGGCTGAAGTAACAATGTTTCAAATTATATTGGGGGGATATTCTGGGGCTTGACAACTGGAGCAAGTCATTGGCAAGGGCATACCCTCCTGGGTAGGTAGGTTCTCAGAGGAGACAAAAATCATAGATTAGATGTTTCTCTTGAGGGAACAGAATTAGAACAAAGGGAGTTAAATGGTCTTAAGGGATCACTTTGTCAGACAGTGGTAACCTGATTAATTGCCCTCCTCTCCTGTTAATGTTTCTATCTAATAATTGGGCCAAAGTACTGTGGAATCAGAGCACTTTTCTAGAGCTCAGTTCTACAGAAACAGCGAAAGTCCGGACCCCTGATAGCCATTACACTTTTATTAGAGACTATAATGTCCAACTTTGCTGTATATTTATTATATTTATCTGAATCTAAGTTTTCAGGATATAGATGTTGGCATTAATTAGATAGCAATAGATGATAGGACAACTGACATTTAATAGTTTTTCTGTCTTTCTTTCAAATGAGAGAATTGGCTGTGCAAAATTTGTGATCTAGCAAGATTCTTTTCTGGTATCAAATAGAATGGATTAGAATAGGTTAGGAGTTAAAAATGAAAGGTTATCATAAAGCCCAGCTGAAAGGCAGTAAGAACTTGAATTGGGGTTGCTGTGACAATTTGGGATAAAAGTAAAGGGACAGGTGCAAGAAATATTCTCAAACCAGAAAGTTGAAACTTTTTCCTCCTGAGTTATGACATGACTGCATATTCAGAAACATAACATATATGGTTTGTAGCTTACAATTTTTCCTAAGTAAACTAAAATATCAATAATGATTTTACTAAAAAGTATCAATAAAAGCGTATGTTATGTGAAATTGTAGGAAAGAAACTTACACTTCAAATAATTTCAAATATAAAGTAGTCCTCACTACCTCTCCTCCTAATATCATATCTGCTTGTCTTTAGCTGAAGTTGCTGACTTGTGTCTGAAATCTCATAGAGATTATCCAGTGAAGTATAATATTACATGGTGTTGAGATGGCTGGGGGAGGGAGCAAGCCTTTTTATGTGTTAAATTTCTGTGCTTAAAGTCTTCTTCAAAGTGTGTACATCTCATGCGAAAACATGAGTGAATGATCCTTTGATTAAAATAAAAAATGAATGGAGGCAGAGCATATAAGGAAAATCTCTGTACCTTCCACTGAATTTTGCTGTGAATGGAAAACTTCTGTGAAATATAAAGTTTGTGAATTAAAATAATAGAACAAAAACTGAAAATGAACTCACAGGCAAAAATAATACAAGATTTTCCCTCTTCGTTCCTTCCCAGACTTTACTTTTTCTCAATTAGCAAGGACAGAGCTAATATTCATTGCAACAAGGAACAATTTCATCTCTTCTGCTTTAGTGCTTTTCTCTAGAGGAGAGCTTCCATGGGGCAAATACATTAAAAGCAATTATCTATTAGACACTTTCCTCACCTACCTTTCAAGGGAATGGGAATGGTGGTGGGCTGGTGAATGCAGACACACACACACACACACACACACCACATCTCCCACCCACCCACACACGAAAATAATTCCAAACATAGTAGTTAAGATTTATACTAAATTTACCCAATTTCCTATGTACTATTAACAAGATACTTTTTGCATTGAAGAAATCGCAATGGTAAAACAAAATATAAAATATCACAATGGAGACTTTAAAGGCATCTCACAAAACCAATAATTAGAGAGTATGCCTATAACCTTCATACCTCCTTCAAAAACTTAAGGTTTCCCTGCATTCTAAAACTTCAGTTACATTTTGAAATGCAAGGAAGGCAGTTTAAAAATAGCTTTTGGAGGTCTTTTAATTATAGATCAATAAGTGTGTCTGAGTACAAAATCAATTATTAATTTATGTAAGCTGAAAATTTTTTTTTATAAAGTTGGATTCTGTCTTCACAGTGGTTCATGCTTCTTGGTAACGAATTAAATAGATAACACATTTTTTTTTCTGAACCTCCCATATTTCATCATATTCAGAAATACTCCCTTCTTAGAGAGATTTTTCAACTAATCTGAGTTAGTTGAAAAATTCTGAACTGATTAACATAAAGTTTAGTATGAACATTAAATTAAAAACATACAAACACTAACTTCTCAGACAGTAATTCTACAAGCTCGTTTTGTACAGTTTAAGGTATCAAGATATGACGGAGAATAGCTGAGGTAGAAGAGATGAAAACATTTTTTACAGTATCTAAGGTTTCTTCACGTAAAGCCTAAAAGTGATTTATCTTTTGATTAAGAAATCTCTTTAAAATATGTTAATCTTTTTTACTCTGGCAGATACAAAATAGAAATAAAGAGATGAAACAATGCAGTAACAAAGGGCCATGTATGGTGGACATAAAAACAAGCATCAAAGAATGGAAAAATACAAGAGCATCTTAATTCACACTATGTGTGAATGGCATCCACAATCAAAAACACATGCAGAGTTCCAACAAACATGCTTTTTAGTCTCGCTTCAAAAGGCAAGCCATGAATGGCAATACAATAGGAATAAACTGAAAATGAATCAGCAATAAAATAAATGATATACAATTAACTATTTGCAATTATAACATAGTAAGAGAAGGAAAATCATAAATCAAAAGTAGTGTAGTTTTATTGAATCTAATAGTCTTAAATATAGTTTATTTCAGCATCTGGTTAGGGTCACACTAATTTGATATTAATAAGAATGTAACTTTTTTCTTTTTAAGCATCTCTGCTACACACCATTTATCAGTAGCTGTTTGACACAGCGTAGTCCCCTTTCTTTCCCTTCTCACTACTGGCAGAGCCTATCACCCAGGATAGAGGCTAGAAATTCCACACACTCCCATTTCTAGTCTCTTATTCGGGTAGAGCCTGGCCTAAATACCCACACCTGGGGAAATTGTGCTGAGTACATCTAAGGACATTTTGCTTCCTGTCAAAAGGAGAGAGAAATGTGAAGAAAATGTTTTCCCTTTTTTTGGTTTTGGACAATGTCATGAGAGGACAAGATTCCTGGAGCTTCTGCAGCCATCTTGCCCCTGTAAGAGAAAGATGGGGAGAATCTCAGAGAACATGGGCCACTGAGCTAACCAGAAATATTATTGTTCAAGTGACTTTTACTTGGGTATTCTTGTACCAGAAAACAACTGAAAGCCAGGTTACCTTTTAAGAAATTCAACCCTGCATCTATCCTAAATTATTTGGTCTACAATAACACTATATAATCAAGCTCAATTTTCTATAAGTAAAATGATATGATTTTCTTTGAATTGTCTGAAGTATTGCAAAAAGAATTTCCATTTGTATACTGAAGAGATTCATCACAAAAGCAATGTACAAGCATGCAATATGATTCACCTTTTAGAGATTGCCTTCCTTTTAATACTATGTTCCTTTCTACTGTGATTTTAAAATGTACTTTTATTTGTTGTATTCCTCAAGTGAAAGTTTCTTTGATTTTTTTTGTCTTTTTGTATTCTAATAATAAAACAAGAAAGGCTAGTGTTGCCCTGGTTAAAGAGGAAGAGTGTAGAATCTCAGAGCTTGTCTCCCACTTGGCCCCCAATCCTCTTTTCTTCAATAGCTCCTACATGATTATGGGAAACATACTTTTCAAACCACTCCTCTCGTCCTAGAGTTGAAGCAGAAAGGCAATGAGAGGAGAAATCAAATTGATCTTTACCTACCTACATTCTGGAAAAGAACGGCAAGATGCAGTTCAATATGACCTTTTCTAATTCTCTACTTTTCAACTCAGGTAGTATATAGATAACCACAGGAGATCAATACATATTTCTTGAGTGAATGAATAAAACTTTTAGATCACTGTGTTGCAGACTGAACCAAGGCTTATTGTTGTTTTTACACCAGAACTTTCCATTATTCAAAGATATCCTTCCCACAGGCAGAGGAGTGGGATAACATAAAATAATAAATGCATAAGTTTATAATATCCCTGTTATGTGCAGGGCATGGTGTAAGGCATTTCCTGGGAAAAATGAATACAAAACATGAAATCCCTGCCAAAGAATAACGTTATTCAGCAGGAGAGACAGATAACTATATGCATGGCCACAAGATACAAAGCAGAAAATCTGTGCCACAAGAGAGGTATAAAGCATTTTAGAAGTTCAAAAGAACAAGCGTTTGCTTCCTGAAAGGAAGATCATAAACAAAGGAATAGTTGATGTAGACCATGAAACAGAGATTGAATTGTGGAAAGAAAAATGTGTAAGAGTTTTAGGTAAAGAGATGATAAAAGTATTCCT
This sequence comes from Homo sapiens, assembly GCF_000001405.40. Lineage (NCBI taxonomy): Eukaryota > Metazoa > Chordata > Mammalia > Primates > Hominidae > Homo > Homo sapiens. The sequence goes on along the minus strand of NC_000003.12, from coordinate 85,457,980 downwards.
GAGTAACTTAAATTAGCCCAAAAAACCTAATCATAACTGTGAAAAATAAGAGTAGAAAAGTACTAGGAGATTATATTTGGGGGATTTCAAATGCCAAAAAGAATTGTGTTACATCTGAACACCTAAAAAAAGTGTCCAAAATCAATTAAAAATATCAAGACTTTTTGAAACATTTATCCATAAAATAAAAACAAATTTAGAAGTCATCCTTTGCCTTTATTATAATCTTTAATATTATAGTGTCAATCATTACAAACAAATTCTAAGTTTGCATTACACTTCAACTTACAATATTTATAACTTAATCCTCAATTGTATTATTCATCTATGTCCTAAAAATAAGATAATGGTTGATTTGATAATATATTTACTATCAATTTTCAGTAAAAATCATAATCACTAGATGCCCTTTTTGTGCAGGCTGAGATGAGATGATGATAGTATAGAGAAAGCAGGGTAGAAAAGGTAATATGTACTACTAACATTTTAACTCTTTTTCATATGAACACTCAAGTGTTAAAATATAAGAAATTCATAATAAATCCTTTTTAATTTTTTTTTTTTCCTTGAGACAGGGTCTTGCTGTGTCACCCGGGCTGGAGTGCAGTGGTGCAATCATGGCTCACTGCAGCCTTGACCTCCTAGGCTCAAGCGACCTTCCTGCCTTAGGCTCCTGAGTTGCTGGGAGTACAGGCCTGTGTCACCACACCTGGCTAAATTTTATGTATTTTGTAGAGATGGTGTTTTGCCATGTTGCCCAGACTGGTACCAACCTCCTGGAGTCAAGTGATCCACCTGCCTCAGCCTCCCAAAGTGCTGGGATTACAGGCGTGAGCCACTGCTCCTGGCCTTTCTTTGCTTTTCTTTTTTCTTCTTCTTTTAAAGAATCTGATAAACAGTTTGGGGTGATTACAAATAATGCCAAAAACATGCCTGATTATCAGCAGTGCATCTTAATTGTCAAGTATCTAGAAATAAGAATTGTTCAAAATTTTACAGGAATAAAATTGTTCCAATTTACCTCTATACTACTTTATCAACTGTTTTTAAACTGCACACATCCGTTTTTCATTAAACAGCCTGACAATGAGTGCTGTTTATTGTAGAAAGATCTAAAAACAAGGGAGTATTTCGAAAAAAAAAAAAAGAAAAAAACACATAGTTGTTTTTACTTAATATCTAAGACTTTTGAATCCACATTTTCATACTACTTTGTATGCATCAACTTTGTCCTGTCACTGAAAAAAGTAGGCCTATAGACTTAAATATTACTTGAACTTCATAGAGGGTGTCATCTGAAATTGATATTAGAAACCAAAGTAAAATTTATTTATATTTGAGTAATTAATAAATAAAATCTTATCAGAAAAGGTTCAAGAGAAGTAGATGATATGTTAAACTTTTGAAAAAGTATGCTATATAAAAATTTGAGATAGTTGAATGTATAACATATAACAAATAATATTGATGAATATTTTGGAAACTTGCTTAAGACTGCACAGAATATCATTCAATATCCCTTATCTAATTATCTACACAAATCATGAATATTCTTTGTATGGCCATTTCTTCTCACATGTGAAACCTAATAGCCAAGTGTTACATAATACTGGCTATAGTATTGTGTGGTCTGGAAATCTAACTTTGTAGTGATTCAAGTAGATACAGGGTCAGAGCTCAGACATTGTCTAGGAATGGCTGCCAGATAGACTATCAATCTCAGATATCAATTGTCTCAACTTGGCTTCAGACTGTCTAGATAATGTACTGTTCAAAATGGTGTCTGCTGATACCAGACAACTCTGACTTTTTGTTATCAAAATGCTTATAATCAAAGTCAGCCAATATCTGCAGAGGTGTGCTTCAGATGCACTGACAGGCAGATCCAAAACTCCCATTTAAAGGTAACCTCTGACCTCTGTATAGATCAAAAGTTAGACTCAGACTCAAAGTTCTTCACTATCAAATGTGGAAAGAAGGTCACGTGATGTCATTTGTTATTTTTATGTGTAGAAGTAATAGCTTTCATTTCATATATTTTGTGTTATTTTGGGTAATTTATCTACTCTTTGTCATCATGAAGCAGAATATCCCTGGAGATTGACCACTATGTCTTTTAAATACACACACACACGAACACACTCATACCCACTTTCTCATGCCCATGCCGAAGCCAATCACATAATTGTTTGAGGCTTGTGGGCTTTGCGTTTCTGCTGGCTTTTGTCCAACACTTAAAAGAGGAGTCAGTCATTAATAAAATTGCCCTTCTGCTGAGAAGGCCCTTTGTGAAGCCTTCAGTTGCAACTACAGGATCCTGTGATATTAAGTAAGAATTTCAATGGACATATTAAAAAAGAGCATCCATATGCCACAGACAATATGAATTGTGTTAAATTAGTTTCTGTTGGAAGTCTTTCTTCGCATATTTTTCCCATGCTATCAAGTCCATCCAGGCCTTAGGTTTATGTTCTTTAAACTGAGACATTTTTCTGCTTATCAACTTACATGTTCTTTACTGGAAAAACTGTGACAGCACTTTCTTTGAAGACATCAGTAGGGTGGATGTAACAGAATATTGTTTGATCACAATATAAAACCTGTTTTTGTCACTTAATTACTCATGCTATGAAAGATGAAGGTAATAAATGTGACAAAATAATAATTAGTGCAATTAGCGACATGTATTGAGTTACTTAGCAATGTTTCCTTAAATATCCTTTACTTATGAATTCAAAGAGAATTTTAAAACTTTTGCATTTGTGTTTTATTGTGGCTTTGATTTTTAAGCTTTTTCTTTTTTGAGCTAAACTAATTTAATGAGGTAGATTATCCTCTTGAACAAATTCCTTTTTGGGAAGCATACACTGGAATTTCATTAACTAATTTACGATATTATCAAGGTTACAGATATTTGTAGGATATGGGCTGACCACAGCATAGCTAATTTGTCCACAAAGTTGTTTCAACTATGAATCCTTATCACACATAAGATTTCTATCTGCAATGACTTACAACAACCAAGGCAACCATCAAAAATAAGGCAGCATTGAATCAATGAAGCGATTCATGAGAATTTCAACTACAGCATGAAATTGTCATTTACAGAACATATCAGAATTTGTGATTCTGTTTTGTGTGTTAATGTTTGCTTACTGATTAATATCACCCTCTCAACTTTAAGCTCCCTAAAGGCAACAACGATAGTTGCATGTAATGCTTTAGCACTTCAGTTGGTTCATAGTGGGTACTTGACAAATATTTGTTGAGTTAATGGGTTTGCATCATTGGATTAGCTTTTTCATGTCTGAATATGCATTCAGTTTGTGGGCAAAAAAAATTGACTGTGTCATTTTGACATAATGGGTAATTTGATCCCCAAATTTTTAATAACAGTGAGCATTTTGGTTCTATATCTGGTTTTTATATATCGAGGATTAAGTTCTTTTAAAGATGTTCTTTTATGTCTTCAGGCCTAGGAGTGGTAATAGCTTTCGATTTTTGTTAGTCCCTTGACCATAGCCTCTCAACAGCTCCATTTTTTTCCTCAGTGATCCTCTTTGAGTTTGTGGTCTGCTTGCTTGGTGGGATTCTGCGTACTAGAAGGATTAATTATATTGCTTGCATTTTTTTAAAAACTTTTTATTTTTGTGACTGAGTCTCACTCTGTTGCCCAGGCTAGAGTGCAGTGTTGTAATCTCGGCTCACTGCAACCTCCACCTCCCGGGTTCAAGCGATTCTCCTTCCTCAGCCTCCTGCCACCACACCTGGCTAATTTTTGTATTTTTAGTAAAGACAGGGTTTCACCATGTTGACCAGGCTAGTCTTGAACTCCTGCCCTCAGGTGATCTGCCCGTCTCGGCCTCCCAAAATGCTTGGATTACGGGCGTGAGCCTCCACGCCCAGCCGCTTGTATTTTTTAAAATAAAGATTGCAGGTTTAGTTTTAATTTGGATAATTTCTTCAATCTGTTTTTTCTTGGTTCCTTTTTTCCCAAATGTTTAATACTGCTTACTACATGTGGTAGTTTTTACCATGTAAAATATTGCCGTTTCTAGTTTTAATTTTTATGACTGTACTACCTAAAATATTGCAGTGAAGTGAGTAAAATACTAATCATCCAGATTTTCAGACTGCTCAATCTATGCAAAAATTGTGACTATTAGTTTTTATATATTCCAAAATTACTTGATCATTTGAATCTCTTTAACATAGTTTAAATCTAATTATTTCATACAATTCCTTTAACTTTTCACCTTGCACATTAAACAGGTTTTTTTTAGGTAAGTGATGATGTAAAATGTAATAAAACATTCACCATTATTTTTGAATCCACGTACAGTAATTTTCCATTCTGTCATTATTATTTAAACAAAGATGTCACACAAAAAAAATTTGGGATGAAAATATTCTGGACTGTGTTACTCCAGAAATCCAGAAAATTGACAATAAATATAATCAATATGATAATGATATAAAATGCTAATATGTACTATAGGAAAATACATGTTTATGAGAGCTTCATAAAATATGTGAATTGAAGAGGGTCTCTTGTCAATTAAGAATACGATAACCACTGATAATCATGCTAATTTCAAAAGTTCTATTAATACACCAGAGGAAAAACACACAAAAATAATATTAATATATGGAAACCAATGTTAAAGGAATTTAAAGAAGTGTAAATTTTTTTCAAAGAAACATCCACTTTATTATACTATGCATTTATTTTTCACTACATATATACTTACATGAAATAATAAGTATATATGAAATACACACACAAAACACAAACAAAAAAATAAAATGGAATGAAATAGTTTCTCTTTAAACTTAACTACCTACTTATATATGCTAATAAAGTTATTTCAGGTAAACAAATAAAGGCTGACTGTGTAGTTTTTATAATATTGGCATTTTTGTAATCTGTGAACTACTAGTAGTACACTTTAAGAAGTTATTTTTACCCAGGTTTAGTTTCCAAATGACTCTTCTAACACATATTTAAGTGTGTGTGTGTATATTTTTCTGTGATTGTGTGTCTGTGCGTTTGTAAGTCTGCATGCCTTTGTATGTGTCTATATGAGCTGGGATTCTTCCTTTACATAAACTTATAGTTAAGGACCTTGCTGTCATAGTTTTTAGGCAACTTGTTGGCAAACACTTTATTACACTTCCAAAATGGTCATTGTTTAAAGAAGAGAACACTGTGTAGCGAATCACATCTGCTACCGCAAGACAACTTCCAAAATCGGAACTGCCCTTGACAGTTCTTCTGAGAATTATCTCTTAGGATGAGCTAGGAGATAATTTCTATGGAGTCCAAACGAAAGAGAATTTGCAAAAAGCTCTTTCAAAGAACAAAGACTGATGGTTTGGAACAACTGTTTGTCTCTTTTTTGTTGTTGTTGTTGTTGTTTTAATTGCCTTATACAACAGCGTGTGTTAAAGTTATTGGAAAACATGCAATAAATTAATAGATATATTATAATAAAAACAAAAACAAAACACAGAGCCAGTACTATTGTAATTATATAGCTTTTGAGGATATTATAAAGTGTTTCTTCAAGGCAGACTATTCCTTCTCTACTTTCTCTTTAAATCTCCATTTTTGCTATTGTTGTATTAGTTTTAATCTCTTAAGGCAAAGATGAAAGATCAAAAGCATTTGGCAAGGTAATGAAAGTTTTGGTACCAATCCTCATTCTACCATTTCCCCATGATATGACAATTTGGGCAAAGAATCCGAAATGCCTCAAGAGTTGGGATTTGTAATCCATAAAATGGGCTTCAAGAAATTTTCCCAACAACACAGTACTATTCTGAAAACCAAACAAAATAATAACCTGTGGGAGCAGTTTGGATCTATCACATGCTAGAAAAGGCAATATATTATTTGAGCGACGGAAGCACATGAGAAGCCTTACAGAATGTAAATGATTTCAGGCTGGAATGTGAGGAAGCATTGCTCTCTAATTTAAAGCCAAAGTCATATAGACTTGCCCGAGAGTGAACTAGTGAAGCATTTAGCTTAGAAATTGAGTGCTTTGGACTGCGCCTAAGTACTTTAAAACTCTTCTAAATAAATGCTTCCATATCATCCATTTCACAGGATGAATCCCTGGTGAAATGACACTTCACGATAATAGCTAAAATTGCTGACCACTGTTATTGTGCTCCTAAATACCAAATGAATTTTAAAAAATCTTGGAATAACACTGTTAGGTAATAATTTAAATAAAATGTCATTTTAAAGGCATCTGCCTTATGCACAGAATAGCAAACACCAAATGGATAATCCATTCACTCACTAACTAATAAATTACTAAGAGCCTATGATGTGAATGTCTGTGTTAGACATTCTGAGGGTTTTAAAGAGGAATAAGACAATGAGTTGATGAACCTGAGGAAGTATATGATGGGTCTGCAATCCCAATATCTTAAGGGAAAACGTGAGGTGTGCTAGGCAACATATAAAACAAAACAGCTGTGGGTGTTCATCTGCAGTACTATTACTTCCGGGGAGGGTCAACATGGAATGTTCTCTGAAGCAGTCATAAAAATAGAAACTATGAATGGTTACGAAAAGGTCATTTAAATATATTCCTTTTCCTAAAACAATTATTATTAATGTGATAAGTAATCTCAGTATTATATAAATTAGCTTTTGTCCATTGAATTTCCCTACATGCTGCCAAATTAAAAACAATTCTTAAAATATAGATTCATTCCCATTCTTTCTGAAAGAGACTTCCTGGTCTTTTAATTATCCCATATTTAAGGTTTATTTTTAAATATAAGTGAAATGTAAATAAACAGATTACAGCCTATTTTTCTCTAGATGTGAATAAAATATAAACATTTACTTTTGAAAAATTAGAATCATGAGCTTCAACTTTATTTTTGATTATCTACCTGGTTTGTAAGTCAGGATTTATGGGCAGAGAAAACATGATGAAAAGACGCAAAAACATCAAAATCATATTAAATGAGTCTAGCTGTTTATATCTTATCTCATTTAATATTTAAAACTGTTCCAGTTTGATATGTTTAACCAATAATTAACAATATTGAGAAATTTGACTTAGTAGCCTAGGCCGAATTCAAAACTAGATCTGTTTAAATTTGAAGTTCATAGTCTTTTTATTTTATTTCATATTTTTCTGGTTAGACAAATTTCAATAAACTAATTTATAATTGGTCAGCATCTAAAGAAAAATTTAAGTTATAAAGTTTTGATAAAGGTAATTTGTTTATAAAACATGATTTTCTTATTTAAAGATGTCAGTGAATCTTTAGTCAGAAGTTCTCTAATACTTTTCTGAAAATCACAAGATTTCACAGGAGCAAAATACAAAAATTTATGAAAATATATTTTTTCATTTCAAAATATATTTATGAAAATATAACTTGTAAAAATGAAGCATTCATTCTATATTGTACTTTTTATTGCATTTATTATATTCATGTTTTATTTATTTATTATTTATGCTGTACTGTCAAAGTTCCAATTTAGTAGATATCCTGAATGGTAGACCTAAATGAATTGTTCAAAACCATTTTCTGTAAATGAGATTGAAACTCATGTATGCGTATTTATGTGTATATGTACATATTTATATGCAATAACATAGTAGATGGAAATAAATAAACTTTCCCCTAGGTTCCAGCAAGTAGATATGCTGATATATTATTTCAGTTATTTGTTGAAATGTATTTATTGGATAAGTAAATTAGACCATAACATATGTGACAATTAAAAAAAAATCACTCCGGATCTTTTACCATGTTCCTTAAATAACGCTGTCCAAATATGCAAGGGTTCGTCTTTAGTTGATAGTTTTTTCTTCACTGATTTGATGTTTCGGTTTCATCGAAACAGTTCTTCCCATAGGAATCAGGAAAGCAGCTCATTTATTTTGATAGGAACAACTTTGCAGTCTTGTTCTGTTTACCTGTTTCCTAACCTTGCTCTGACATCCCAAGCCCTCTACCTGCCATCCATTTGGCAAGTATTCATTTGAAAATTAATCCATAGGAACCAATTTGCATTGAAAGTGAGGCAGACTGATGTACTAGTAAGATCATTGGGCTAGGTTAAAAAAAAGGTGTATTGTCAACGTCACTACTACCTCACTGAGAGACCATGGGCATCGGCTTTTATTCATTTTCTCATCTCTTTCTGTTATCTGTGGAATAAGAAATCTAGATTATTTGATGTCTAAAGTTTCCTTAACCCTGTAATATTCTTGTGAAATACGAGAATTTTAAGAACTGATTGTCTGTTTTCCACATTTACTTTAATGTAAACATGATGTTTAAGTCAATGTTTTGATATAAACATTCAATGTTGAGAGTAAGGAGCTTGTTTTAGTACTACTTTATATGCTAAGAAGGAAATAAAACTCAGAAAAAAAAAAACCTTATATTTCAAGGAAAATACTACGTCAAAAAAAGACCTTGTGCAATCGGGTCTTGAGGTCATGCTTCCATTCTGTAGCTTAAAACTATTTAACACTCAAGAAAATCTCATTCAAATTAATTATTCCCCAAACTGTATAAATAGGAGCAAAGCGTCTTTATACATTGATAGTTCATGCAAGTGCAATTTGACTTAAAAAAAGGAATAATTTCTAAACTTTCAGGAGCTATTTCACTGGGAAAAGCTCGCCTTTATATAACAAAATCTTCATCTAGACCCCATAGACCAATTTTATATTCCATGAAATTCTATAATGCTTTAAATAAAAGGCCTTTTTTTCTTAATAGCACTTTGTGACTCTGGTGAAAAAAAAATTAAAATGAAACGCTGAAGACTGAATTATCTCTTTATATACAAAAATTCTATACAAATATTCCAGGAGAATATACAAAGATGGTATAATGAATTATATAATTTTTATCATTATTATTATTATTATTATTATTTTTGAGTTGGAGTCTCGCCCCTTTGCCGAGGCTGGAGTTCAGTGGTGTGATCTTGGCTCACTGCAACTTCCGCCTCCCGGGTTCAAGCGATTGTCCTGCCTCAGCCACCAACGTAGCTGGGATTACAGGCGCGCACCACCATCCCCAGCTAATTTTTTGTATTTTTAGTAGAGGCGGGGTTTCACCGTGTTAGCCAGGATGGTCTCGATCTCCTGACCTCGTGATCCACAAGCCTCGACCTCCCAAAGTGCTGGGATTACAGGTGTGAGCCACCACGCCCGGCCGAATTTTTATTATTTTTAAAAAGTGGAGAATTTTGAGAACTCAGGTAGTACTGAGACGACTGGTGCCTATGCAGATTAAATGATTAAGTAACTTTGTCAAAGTCAGACCTGTTTAAACTTAGAAATGATTATGTTGCACCATATGTTCACACACACACGCATGCACACAACCCCATGTGCAAAATCTATACACTGACCCTACTTTAAAGAGAGAGTCATAGGTTTGGTGAGTTATACATACCGCCACAGTGCCGTATTTTATTGAACTTTTTAACTTTTCAATTATTTGTTTAGAATCATGAAGACATCCATATGCAAGATAAACGGTGCAGAACAACGATTTAAATATCTTTGTTAAGAGTCATAAAAATATCAACTATATGTCAAAATGGAGTGAGATATATTTGCTAGGATTTTTTTTTTTTTTTTTTTTTTTGAGACGGAATCTTGCTCTGTCGCCCAGGCTGGAGTGCAGTGGCGCGATCTCGGCTCACTGCAAGCTCCGCCTTCCGGGTTCTCGCCATTCTCCTGCCTCAGCCTCCCCAGTAGTTGGGACTACAGGCGCCCGCCACCACGCCTGGCTAATTTTTTTTGTATTTTCAGTAGAGACGGGGTTTCACGGTATTAGCCAGGATGGTTTTGATCTGCTGACCTCGTGATCCGCCCGCCTCGCCCTTCCAAAGTGCTGGGATTAGAGGCGTGACCCACAGCGGCCGGCCTATTTGCTAGGATTTTGTGCAATTAAACCATCATCATCACCTTGTGTCTTTTTGTGTGTGTTTTGCTTATTGGCTTTTCTTTCATATATCTGCCACATAGAAAGGGTCAGGATATCTGATACAATTTTTGCTTTGTCTTAGCCAAAGACAAATAAGAATCATTATTGCACTGTCAAAAACATTGGCTAACACATAATTAGTTACTACATTTTAGCATTGGCCAGAATTGCATAGAGATGGAAAAAAGATAATGTATTCATCTCATCTCTTTAAACACAAATATATAAAACCCTTGAGACTTCTGAATCAGAAATGTTTCTGATTCAGTATAACAGTTTGTGATGTATGGCTGAATGTCATTTGCCTAGTCACAGCACAGGGGCACGTAGGTAATAAAAATTTCGTCAGCATGTTTGCGAAATGTAAATGCTTAGGCAATTTTTTGTAGCCACAACGTGTGCTGTAGATAGAATGCAAACTTGAATAAACACGATTAATGAAGTGAAGGGTAACCATTGCTTTATCATTCTTCCTGTAGACTACAGAATACACTACCTGTATGTATAAGGGGCAAAACTTTATGATTCAGAACAATGCAACCTTACGTTTAAACTAAATTATAAACAAATGAAATATTAAGCTTAACAGAAGGAAAATACTGAAAGGAATTTAAAATCAACTAATTTACTATAGAATTAACATTACAGTAAGGCTATCACAAATTATAATACCTAAAATGTAAATGACAAGAACTGAATTATTTAAAATGTTCTCTCATGTCACATTCCATATATCCACTGGAAGTCACCCAACAGTTTCTAGGATGATGTAGATTTCTGTTTTGTGGCACTTGTCCCCAATATTTGACACTTTTCCTTTGAATTATAGAGGTACTCCTCTGGGGCCAATATAGCAATACAAAAAACACAACAATTCAACCCAAAGCCTATTTTCAAATTGTATTACCATATGAATTATAACTATAAAAGTGAAATATATATTTCAATATATACTAAGCATATATATATATATATATATATATATATATATATATATATGCAATACATATTAGGCTTAAGTCATTTAAATATTTAGCTACCAGAGTGATGTATAAATATATGACTGAAGAGGCACTAAAAATCGTTCATGGCCAGGTGCAGTGGCTCATGCCTGTAATCCCAGCACATAGGGAGGCCAGGGTGGGAGGATCACCTGAGTTCAGGAGTTCGAGACCAGCGTGACCAACATGGAGAAACCCCATCTCTACTAAAAATACAAAATTAGCTCGGTGTGGTGGCCCATGCCTATAATCCCAGCTACTCAGGAGGCTGAGGCAGGAGAATCGCTTGAACCTGGGATGGGGAGGTTGCGGTGAGCTGAGATAGCACCCTTGTACTCCAGTCTGGGCAACAAGAATGAAACTCCGTCTCAAAAAAAAAAAAAAACAAAAAACAAAAAAAACTCACACACACACTTTTATAAAATATTATAATAATCCTTTTATCCTTATCTTCAAATGCTAATTATTTTTCAAACAAGAAAAGCTGAAAAGCAGAGCAAATGTTTAAATTTCTGCAAGAGTCAGTGGTTAAATGGTGCTACAAGACAGATTTTCTGAAGTCAGAGGAACTCATCATTCGGAAAGATGCTATTGACCATGGTCTTGCTTTAACATAAATAATGCACTGAAAGTACAACTATGGGGCATTTTTATGTCTTCTTATAGACTTTGCTGAATATATAACTCTTCTGTAAATTTTTATTAAATTAATACCCAGGCTCAGATTACACCTTTATTTTGTATCACTGAGTAATACAGTTCATTTTTCATTCATTCACTCACTGAATCTCTTCTGTGTTTAGACCCTGTAATAAAAACAGTGATGAGTCAAGAGAAGGAAGAAGCTAATATTCATCTTTAATAAATTTACAGCCTACTAGAGAAAATAAGTATCAAAAATGATACCACAGGGTAGAATGAAAAAGTTATTTACCTCTCAGGAGTTAATGACTATCTAGTGTACATACACCTCGCCTGAAATCATTAAGATCAGATAAATATTTGTAAAATATTTGTAGAAGCTTCATCTCTGGTCTGAAGTTTTCAGGATGCATATATTTGCAATACAGTCTAATAAAGTATAAATTTGTAGTATATTGCATGTAACAGTACAGTTTTATTTTGTTTCAAAAAAAGATTTATTCACTTTCATCTACTTGGCTTTTTAAAACCCTCAAGTTATAGTTACCTTTTCTAAAAAGGCAACCAGTTCTCTAACTGCACTCTGTTTGTACTTCAGTCACAGCCTTTATCAAATTGCAGAGTAATCATCTCTTTATTTCTGTCCCTCCCACTATTAATTCCTTGAGATGGAAGTTTCTTTTATGTTTTCTTCTTATTTCCAAAATGTTAATGTATTTTAGGCATTTAATAAATGCTTATTGATGGGATAAATGCATAGATAAATAATGCAAGTTCCTGAAGGCAAGAAACCATATTTCTTATTGTTTTTCAAAAAATATTAATCAAATCAAATTCAAGCTAAGATTTATAAATGTACATATTATAATATTATATTTTTATACAACAGTATGTTTTATCTACTTAATCTCATTACAGACAATGTATTTAGATCTCATTTCACAAACTACATTTTGAGAACTCTGTTGGATTACATTTCACATCTGTGGCACAATTTATACAACTTAAATACACGTTCATGACTATGTACTGCATATAGTATTTTATTAGTAAGTTAAAATATTTTTATGCCACCCTTAATGGTGAATCAGCCTAGTTTAATGAAAAATTGCAAGCACTGGATGCAGGGTGTTTTAAATTTTCATTTTAACTTTGTAGCATACTATCTCTGTTTCCTTAGGAAAATCATTGAAATTCCCTAAGTTTCGGTTTACTCGTCAACAAAACGAAGATATCAAAAACTACTCTTTTACAGGGTTGTTGCTGGGACTATATACACAGTATATGTACTCATTTAGTAATAGTTATGATCATGATAATGATGACATTGTTGATAGTTTGAGGCTAATAATACTGATAATATACACAGTCTTTATCATGCTCTAGACACTGTTCTAAAAATTTACATCTACTCACTCAGATTCAAGAAGAATATGATGAGAATATTTTCTGTGCTAGACTGCAACTCCCACTGGACAGAGACAGTGTATATTTTCTTCCTCAATGCCTTATATTAATTAATTAAACAAATAAAAGTGTTCAAGGAATTGTTTTATACAGGCTATATAGTGGAAGCTAGAATGACAAAAAGTCTGACATTCATGGAGCTTATTTTCTAAAATTCAGAGTCATATAATATAGAAAACAAGTCAAGTGTATGTTATATGTTGACAGACACTATAATAAAAATTGAGTAGGACAGGAGGATAGGAACTGTGGGAATGGGGGTTGGGAACAGCAAAACGAAATGAGGTGGTCACGAAAGCTCTATTTACAAAATGTTATTTTAAAGAGTTGAAGAAGTGATCTATGGGGATATCTCAGAGAACTTTATTCCAAATGTGGAGAGAACAGTAAGGTTGAAAGGCTTGGGGCAAGGGTGTGTGTGTGTGTGTGTGTGTGTGAGTGTGTAGGAAAAGACAAGAAGCCAGTTACTAAACTGGAAGAGCAGTGGGAGGTGAGTTTGGACAACTTATAAATCCAGTTTTAATATTTTTATTAGATTTTATTTTCATTTGATAGAAGTGGAATGCCTTTGAGAAGGTTTAAGCAAGGAAACAAGTTACTCTGATATTCAAACAATCACTCTGGTTGCTGCATTGAGCATAGATTTAGGGTGGGCAAGCTCAAGAATAGAAGCCAAAAACGCAGCTTTTTCGGAAAAGACATGTTGGCAGCTTATGTCAGAGTACAAGTTCTATAGGTGCTAAAATATAATCAGAAACAATATAATTTAAAGCAGAGCCAATAAGATTTCTTAATAGGTTGAAAGCGGAGTGTGAAAGAGAGAAGGTTGGCCTTAGGCTTTGGAGCCAAGCAACTGGACAGCTGAAATCAGCAATACTGAGATGGTAAATACTGTGGAAGGAATGAGATAGTGGAATGGAAAACAGATGCAATTTGGGGGGCTCATTAAATCTGAGATACCTATCTAACATCTATGAGGAGATCCTGAGTAGATGGCAACCGAAATACCTGAGCAAGAAACACAAGTTTGGGTGTTGCCGGCATATAGATGACCTTCAAACCTATGAGGCTGGAAGAGATCACCAAGTGATCACAAGGGAAAAAGAGATCCAGGGACAGACACAGAATATTCCACAGTCACAAATCAGTGAGAAGGGAAGGAGCAAAGAGACAGTTAAAGGGCAGCCAGGTACATTGCAGTAAAGTCAAGACATGGAGGTAGGTTGTTAATCAGTTGTGTAGAAAACTGCAAATCGGTCAAGTAATAAGAAATATGAAAAATGAGAAATAGAAAAGTTGATTTAACAATGTGGAAGGCACTGGTGATCTTGACAAAAGCAAAATAGTGAAGCAGTGGGAATAAAAACTGAATGGAAAGAGTTGGAGAAAGAAAGAAGAGAAAGCATTGAAAATACCTGTTTTGAGTAGTTTGGCTGTTAACGGATGCAGAGAAATGGGAATGAGGCTGGAGAGAATAGTGAGGTTATACAATAGCTGTTCCAAAGATTACTGAATTGAAGTATTGGTTTGATGAGTATGAGTATATATTGTCTCCTTATAATTTCTTCCATGGCATCAATTCAGCAAAGTATGTTTTCCTGTAATTGCTAGGCATAATACAGGAGGTGTGTGACACATGTAATTTAAATTTGGTTAACAATTCATAATTTAATTAAAAGAAACAATATAAAATAATTGTGCAACACAGAGCTTCAAACACACCCTATTTGAGGTATACAAGAGATCAATCTTGCTCTGAAATCAACCCGTTTATTTTAATGTAACTTGTGAAACAATTAAGTGTATTGGTTTATTTTATAAGATACACAGTGATTATTATAAGTTTGACTAAAATAACTTAGGCAGTTACCATGTTTCAAGACATAAATTTAAAACTTTTTAGTATACCTGTATATGCATTCATACTATATATTAAATATATCAGGAAATTAAGAAGAAATGCTCAGCAAATATTGTCACAAAATGGCATCTATATTTACCTAAATCCACGAGATTCCTGATATTATATCAATTTCTTTAATAATTTCTTTCTTACTCTTCCTATTTCTCATTGGAAGTTCTCTTCAAAATATTCATGCAGGTTGTCTTAGGTTTTTGAAAATATTGTAAATATATTCTTATGTCACTTTTTTATACTATATTTAACACTTAAAGGGCTGCAAAAACAAAAATAAATCTTCAATCCCTGAACTCTGAAATCTGGCCTCTTAGCTGATGGCAATATTCATATATATATATATATATATATATATATATATATATATATATATACTCATATATAAGCATTATTTTAAATAGAATGTGGACTTTTATTTTAAATTTTTAATATTCTTAACCATGATTACTTCCCCTCTCTCACTTTGCTTTGAAGCAAAGGTGAATTATTATTTTTCTTTGTAATAAATGTACATGTACTTGTTAATATACAAATCAATGCCCTTGACATCTTTGCAGGATTTTTGATAGTCTGTAGTCATTTGCTCCGCTATATTCAATCAAGTGATACAGAAGTATACATTTGTGTAAATTATTTTAAAGTTCATTGTGTGAAGGAGAATTCTGTCAGTATGTAAGAACAAGAACAACTGGAGAAGAAAAAGAAAAGATATTCACAAGTCAGCAACAAGGAAAGAACATCACTATTAGAATGGTGAGGCTGGAGAGAGAACAAGGAAAATATAATACTGAGATGACTAACATGGTTTCTTTTATGACGCGCATAAAAACTTCTTTGCAGTATCTGATAATATTGTGTGGACAAAATCTGAATAATGGGTAGATTTTGCCTATTTTCAACATGTCTTCTCTGGTTTTGTATACATAAGCTAATATTTAGAGGCAGCAGGGATGAAACATAAATAATATGATATTAGACTTAATCAGGTATCTGTCTCTGCATGCATTTATTTTTAGCTAATTTATTGTTCTTCTGCTTATAGTTCCACCTCTCTTCTTTGTTCCTTACTTCCTCATCTTTTTTTCTTCTAGTCACTCCTCTCAATTCTGCATTGTTTAAAGTTTCTTTTTAAATCAATTCCATGTGATTCTTCATGTATTTCTCTCACCACGTGTCATAACCTCCCACTCTATTCAAGCTAAGCTACATCATTTCTTTCACATGTAATTATCTTTTTGCCACCACTGTGTCTTTCTACAAGGAAGACATTTCCTTTGTAAAAATATGTTTGAGGTATGTGGTTGTTTGTATTTTCCTGGAACTTAGGCAATACTGTCATATTTGGGGGATTTGGGATCAAGATTATAAATCCAGAATGTTAATAAAGAGAGGATAAAAATCAATTTCATATTTATCTTTCCAAGCAGTGTTAGTCAAAATAAAGATGAGGAAAATTAAATATGGTAGATTATATTTCAAATATGACTCTCTGTAATATAAAACTCAACCAAAAATATGAAGCATTTCATGGATGTTAATTTTGCCGACTACCAGCATCAATCTAGAAAAACATTAAATTATAAATATTATGTTTATTTATAATATTGACAATAATTTTAATTACTAGCATACAATTGTGAACTGTAATGTGAAAAATGTATCAATCCATAAATCTTAATGATCATGTTAAGTGGCATTATGAATTAGATTGTTTCTAATAATATTCATTTTGTCAATAACATAATATTAAAAACTGAGTATTTAATTACTACAAAAATTATTAATCACTTAAAAGATAGGAATGCTAAAATCCAGGCATGAAAACACTGAAGATTGAAAAATACATGAAATACTTGAATACATGTGAGAATTATGGTTATGTGTTTATGTATATTTAAAAAATCTAATAATTAAAATATTGGTATTATAAAGATACCAATATTGTAAAGATCCTATAAAGATATAAAATATGTCTTTTTATTATTTATTTATTTATGTTTTTGGGACAGAGTCTTGCTCAAGCTCCCAGGCTGGCTCACTGCAACCTCCAACTCTTGAGTTCAAGCTATTCTCCTCTCTCAGCCTCGTAAATAACTGGGATTACAGGCACCTGCCATCATGCCCGGCTAATTTTTGTGTTTCTGTAAAGATGGGGTTTCACCATATTGGCTCGACTGGTCTTGAACTCCTGACCTCAAGTGATCCGCCTGCCTCAGCCTCCCAAAGTACTGGGATTACAGACGTGAGCCATGATAATTGCCATTTTTAAACAATGTTATACAATGTCATTGTATAAAAGTCACATAGTTCCTTTTCCCCCATAAGCAAACCAAATGCTTATATTATCATCACAGGTGTTAGACAAGACAGAAATCTTAGAGACCGTCATTTAAAGGTGACCACACTGAGACCTAAGGTCGCAATGTTTCAATGGCAAAATAAGACCTGGACTCCAACCTCGTAGTGTATTTGTTACACGTAACTGTCTCTTCAAATAGGCTTTTATACTCACTTGCTTTTGTAAAGTAGATCAATAAAATTTTAGATAAAAGAGTTCATAAGAGAGGCCCAGTTCAACCTACTAACTTTACAGTCGGAAACCTAAGGCTGGAGAGGTTAAGTACTGCCTGTTCTGAAGGGAAATGAGAGGCTGAAGAATGACGTGGGGTGTGTTCCATCTCTGAGTTTTACAGTTATGTAGTAATCACGTTTCCTAATTATGACTAAAATTAAAAAAGCACCTTCTTTGGATTGGGAAGCAAATCAAGGGATTTGATATAAATTAGACACAAGTGTATGCACTTCTGCTATTTTTTCTACTTTAGCCACTCATGAATTTAGAGGGAGCTCATCTGAAAAAGCCATAGAAAACACATTTACTCTAAGATACTCCTCTTATAATTGCAACATACTAATCGTGCCCTTTAATCTAAAATATATTGCATGTATGCAATTCTCCTAATGGAATATTGTTAGGAAGAAATAATCCAAAAATAATGTATTAAAATGAAATAACTACTTTGATTTATAAAATGTTTTACATTAAATAAACTCACCTGGCTTTTACATTATACAGGTAGGAAGATGTTTTTGAGTCTGACTTTAAATTGCTTTAACCCTCTATTTAATGCACCTGATAACTGAATATTCTGAACAGAAAATTTTCAGAATGCAAATACCATCACACCTGTTCCTTTTTAGCACATATTCTTTATTTGTATAAAATCTATGAAGATTTTAGGGACAGTCCATGGAAATTTTAGGGGGAGTCAAGTGGCCCAAAACACATGGCATACTGGATGATGAAACTGTTGATTGAGTTAACTGGCTGCAATAATTTTGGCTTAAAGAATTAATATGATTAAAACATACTGACTTACTGCTAAATCATTAGTTTCACTATTACATAGAAAATTTATGAAACAAAAAAATAGAAGAATTTGTTTGCAACTTATAAATAACAATAAATTAATTTACATTAAACCAGTTTCAGTCAAAAATCAAGTCATTGGCCGGGCACAGTGGCTTACACCTGTAATCCCAGCACTTTGATAGGCCGAGGCGGGCAAATCAGCTGAGGTCAGGAGTCCGAGACCAGCCTGGACAACATGGTGAAACCCCATCTCTAGTAAAAACACAAAATTAGCCAGGAGTGGTGGTGCATGCCTGTAATCCCAGCTACTAAGGAGACTGAGGCAGGAGAATCGCATGAACCTGGGAGGTGGAGGTTGCGGTGAGTTCAAATTGCTCCATTACACTCCAGCTTGGGCAACAAGAGTGAAACTCCGTTAAAAAAAAAAAAAAAAAGTCATTATAAGTCATTATTAAGTCACTTGTGAACTTTCTTTTATCCTTTCAAAATACATTTCCCAAAACTCATTTTGAATTCCAGTTACATGATAATTATCTATCGAGCTCTATCTTTGTGAACAGCAGGTGTTAAAATGCAATCATATTTATCAAGAAATAAGATGAGGCCAGGCATGGTGGCTTACACCTGTAATCCCAGCACTTTGGGAGGCCGAGGCAAGATAATCACTTGAGCCCAAGAGTTCAAGACCAGCCTAGGTAACATAGTGAGAGCCTATTTCTACAAAAAATATAAATAATAAATAAATAAATATTATCCAGGTATGGTGGCTCACACTTTTAGTCCCAGACACTTGGGAGGCTGAAGCAGGAGGATCACATGAGCCAAGGAGTTTGAGGCTACAGTGAGCTGTGATTATGCCCTTGCACTACAACCTGGGTAACAGAGTGAGACCCTGTCTCAAAAAAGAAAGGAAAAGGAAAATGAAAAGGAAAGGAAAGATCTATCAATGTGTCCTTTATGTCTATTTTTGCAGATACTGCCCATATAAAAATAAAACATTTACCCTAAATAGCAAAAATGTTTAAATACTTTATTTCACAAATATGGTACCAAACACTTAACTATTACTCTTTTTTTCTTAGAAATTGTACAGGAGTGAAAATCTATGACTGCCCATAAGAGGGAATCACTAACCATAACTTTGGTTAAGACTATTGCCAAAGAATGTATTCAACTACTCTTGATTTATAGTTGTTGAAAAGTATCAAACGTGTTTTTTTTTTTTCAAACACCACGACTTGGAACCCAACATGCATAAGATACAGATAATGATCCATATTTAAAGATTTTCTTTGCAGTATTATCTACTCTATGAAAATGAAATATTGGAAACCAATTGAATGTCTTAAAAAGATAAGTAAATTTTTTTGTTAAGATCATGGTATGAATTTGGTAATAAAAATATTTTGGATAGATTTTTAGTGATTAGAAATATGATCAAAGACTAATAGTAAGCAATAAATAAATAAGAATTCAAAGTTATCTATTTTCTGTATTCCAATCACATTATTTTTTCTATTGTTGAGAAAGTACTGAAAGCAATAAATATATTAAAGCATTAACCATAATTTTAAATATAATAATTGTAGGACATTTGTGAGAGTTGTTAATACTTTGCACAATAAAGTAACAAGTGGTTTTTCTTTTCTTCAGTAAACTTTTCTGTAATGATAATGTTCTCTTTTTATAATCAGAAAATAATGAAATTTAATTTAAAAGCCAATATGTGACTTATAACAACATAGTTTAAGAAGAAGGAAAGATTTCTATGAGTTGCTTCTGATGGAGTTTTATATTTAGAAAAAAGGAACAATAAATGGAGAGGCTAACATAAACGTTCTAATATATGGAGGTTTGAATCTCATTTAAGTAACAAGGATTTCCACAGCCCTATTTATTTAAATATATTTAAATAATGATACTTATTAAAGAAAAACATGTTGGTTATGTAGACGGCAAATAAGCATATTAAAAGACACTCCAACTATATGCCATCAGGGAAATTTAAATTAAAACAACAGTGAGATGCCATTACATACCTCTTAGAGTGGTCAAAATCCAGACCACTGAAACACCAAAATGCTGATAAGAATATGGAGCAACAGGAACACTCATTCAATGCTGATGGGAATGCAAAGTGGCATAGCCACTTTGGAGACATGCTGGCAGTTTCTTACAAAGCTTAACATCCTTTTCTCACTGATCCAGCAATCACACTTCTTGGCATTTACCCAAAGGAGTTAAAAGCTGTATCCACTGATAAACTTGCACACAGCTGTTTACAGAAACTTTTTCATCATTGCCAAAACTTAGAAGCGATTAAGATGTCCTTCAGTATTCAGTAGGTGAATGGATAAACTGTGATATAGCCAGATAATGAGACATTACCCAGCATTAAGAAGAAATGAGCTATCAAAGCATGAAAAGACATAGAGGAAACTAAAATGCATATTTCTAAGTGAAAGAAGCCAACATGAAAAGGCTACATACTATATGATTCCAACTGCATGACATTCTGGAAAAGGCAAAACTATAAAGACAGTAGTAAAAAGATCACTGGTTGCCAGGGACTAGAGGAGAGGAAGGAATGAATAGGCAGAAGAAAGATTTTTAAGACTGAAAATGTTCTGTATGATACTATAATGTGAATACATTCAACATATATTTCTCCAAACTCATAAACGTACAGTAACAAGAGTGAACCCTAGTGTAAACTATTGACTATAGGTGACAATGATGTGTCAATGTAGGTTCATCAATTTTAACAAATGTACCGCTTTGGCAAAGGATGTTAATAGTGGGAGAGGTTATGAGTGTGTGAAGGCAGTGAGTACACGGGAAATCTTAGCACTTTCTGCTTATTTTTGCTATAAACTTAAAATTGCTAAAATAAAAAAGTTTACTTTAAAATGTTTGATTTATAGAATTTCTGCTTTCACTTTCAAATTTATTCTGGTTTATTTTAACATAAAAGTAAATTTATTTTAAATATGTACTTTTCAAAGAAAACTATATCAAAATAATAAGAGCTATTTATAACAAACCCACAGTCAATATCATGCTGAATGGGCAAAAACTGGAAGTGTTCCCTTTGAAAACCGGCACAAGACAAGGATGCTCTCTCTCACTGCTCCTATTCAACAGAGTATTTCAGGGCAATCAGGCAAAAGAAAGAAATAAAGCATATTAAAATAGGAAGAAAGGAAGTCAAGTTGTCTCTGTTTGCAGATGACATGATCGTATATTTAGAAAACCCCATCGTCTCAGCCCAAAATCTCCTTAAGCTGATAAGCAACTTCAGCAAAGTCTAAGAATACAAAATCAATGTTCAAAAATCTCAAGCATTCCTATACACCAATAATAGATAAACAGAGAGTCAAATCATGAGTGAACTCCCATTCACCATTGCTACAAAGAGAATAAAATACTTAGGAATCCAACTTACAAGGGATGTGAAGGACCTCTTCAAGGAGAACATTCAGGACACAGGCATGGGCAAGGCTTCACAACTAAAACACCAAAAGCAATGACAATAAAAGCCAAAATTGACAAATGGGATCTAATTAAACTAAAGAGTTTCTGAACAGCAAAAGAAACTATCATCAGAGTGAACAGGCAACTTACAGAATGGGAGAAAAATTTTGCAATCTATCCATCTGACAAAGGGCTAATATCCAGAATCTACAAGGAACTTAAACAAATTTACAAGAAAAAAAACAAACGACCCCATCAAAAAGTGGGTGAAAAAGAGAAGCGAACAGGCACTTCTCAAAAGAAGACATTTATGCGGCCAAAAAACATATGGAAAAAAGCTCATCATCACTGGTCATTAGAGAAATGCAAATCAAAACCACAATGAGATACCATCTCATGCCAGTTAGAATGGCCATCACTGGAAATTCAGGAAACAACAGATGCTGGGGAGGATGTGGAGAAATAGGAATGCTTTTATACTGCTAGTGGGAGGGTGAATTAGTTCAACCATTGCGGAAGACAGTGTGGCGATTCCTCAAGGATCTAAAACCAGAAATACCGTTTGACCCAGCAATCCCATTACTGGGTATATACCCAAAGGATTATAAATCATTCTACTATAAAGACACATGCACACATATGTTTATTGCAGCACTATTCACAATAGAAAAGACTTGGAACCAACCCAATGCCCATCGATGATAGACTGGATAAAGAAAATGTGGCACATATACACCATGGAATACTATGCAGCCATAAAAAAGGATGAGTCCATGTTGTTTGCAGGCACCTGGATGAAGCTGGAAACCATCATTCTCAGCAAAGTAACAGAGGAACAGGAAACCAAACACCACATGTCCTCACTCATAAGTGGGAGGTGAACAATGAGAACACATGGACATGGAGAGGAACATCACACACTGGGGCCTATTGGGGGTTGTGTGGGTAGGGGAGGGATAGCATTAGGAAAAATACCTAATGTAGATGATAGGTAGATGGGTGTAGCAGATCACCATGGCACATGTATACTATGTAACAAACCTGCACATTCTGCATATGTATCCCAGAACTTAAAGCATAATAAAAAATGAAATAAAATAAAATAAATGATAAAATCAAGACATGTAAATGATTTTCAAATATAAATTACTGACTAGTTAGCAACAATCATTATATACTAGTAACTCTTATATCCACTATACAACACCTCTACTGTTAAGTGGATAAAAATTACCAACAGTCAAAGCGACTCAGCAAGACACTGAGGTACTACTTAGCTTTTAAACGGGTCACATTAACCTGAGCAAGTAACTTACGAACTGAGGAATCCTGGTTCAGCAGTTTTATTTTTGTTTTTAGGTAATACTAAATTGAGTGGCTACAATCTCAGAGGGTAATATTAAAATTGACTTCAAAGTGACCTTTAAATTTAAATATTATCAGAAATACGTAGAATGAAGTTTTATTTTCTTTAAAAGCAGACTAAAGAGACTGCATAAAAACAAAAGAGAAAAATAATTTATAATTTGGGCAGTCAATAATCGTCATAGGAATGTAGAATTCAAAGTGTAGGTAATATGATAAATAAAGCAATAATTTGATTTTTATAACTGTATTCCCAATGTGTATAACAGTTTCTAAAACATTATAGCCCCTTAGTACATATTTGTTGAGTGGATAGATGAATGAATATACTGTTATATCAAATTTTTCAAAGATAATCATAACTAATAAAAGTTAATAAGTACTATATGTTTAGTTTGGTGCTCTCACATGTAAAAGAAAAAATGAAAATAGTAAGCCAGGATAATTGAAGTCTAAAATATCACCAAATTAAGAAACTGACATTGTATAAATTAAGTTACACATTGATTTTAGCTGATAAAAATAATTAATGAAAATCTTTAAAAATATAAATTTATTAATGAATAATACTAGAAGTTTTTTCTTTCTACTGAAAATAATATGAGAAACATTGTTAAAATTTTAGTAGATATTAGGTAAATATCATAAGAGTGATTCTGCTAAAATTAGCAGAGAATAATTTTGGCAAAATCTAAACTTAATCGACTCATACTGTAAGTTTTAAATCAACATTTACTGATTGTCTACAGGTGTCAGGAATTATGGTAGGCAATGGAAATACAAAAAAAGTCTAAGGGATGTAACCTGACCCCAGGGATCCAAAAGAATATCTTTGACACCAGCGGGAGAACAAATTGGTTACTTTTCAAGTTATAATTTCTGAGTGCTGTGATGTATGTGTGCTGGTATGATTCTAAGTATCATTTCCTGTGGAAGTTCTCTTTTGATTCATCAAAATAATGCAATTCACAGAGAAAGTTAGACTCGTATCTCTAAACCACTATTCAAAGAAAAAACTGATTGTTAATCTAGCCATATTTCTATACAACCTATAATTGGAAAAAACAATTCCATTCTCAGGGTCTACGGGGCAATATGCAAATCAGAATTCATCTTCACAATGAGTTGTATGCTTTCTCTCAGCATAACCCATCCTTATTTGCTAGCTCCTTACATGACAGAGGGTTCAATAACCCCTACTTCTCCAATGCTCTGGCAAAGGAGCAAGAGATTGCTTTCCAGGCGGGTAGTCACAAGTAAGCAATTTCAAGAATCCTCTAATGAGGCAATCCATAATGATTTTCCCAACTGAGTTCATTCTCCAACTACAAGGGGAAAAAAAAGTAATTTTAGCAGCCTATTTGAAACAGGAACACACACATGCATACACACACACATATACATTCCTTGCACTAACAAAGATAAATGAATATATACATATGAAATTATCACTATAGACAGATGTCTGGGAAAACAATTTATGCAGGTCATTTGATATTCCCTAGGCATTGGCTAAATTTGGACTTCAAAGGATAGCTAGTTATTTTAATGTCATATTCTATATTTAATATTTTATTAGCTTTAAAAATCCTGCTTTTTAGAAAAAAAAAGAGGACTCAGAAATAAATGTATGTTTTTCTTTTAACCCATGATCTAAATTTGCCTATCCTAAATACATGTATAAATTCTTAAATACTTCATACTTCTAATTAAATAGCATGAAATGTACCACAAATATTTATTATGGGTGCTTAGAATTTGGTATTGTTGTATTTTTTTTCTCAAATGAATATCAAACACTAAAATTGGAGCATAATGAGATTCTTTTTTTCTTAGGTAGTGTCAACTGTATTAAATGATATGAGATGACTATGACTTTGGACATAAAGATTAAAATACTAGGATGATATTAGAGGTTTCAAAACTTAGTTTATATACCTGCTTATGAGCTTATCAACTGCCTATGAGAATGGAATGCAAAATAAGAATGTACATTACAAGAATGTAATGCTATAAGAAATGCTTTTTAGAAAATATATGTTACTGACATTTCAAAAGCACCTGAACCAGTATTTGCAGGACTGGAGTCTAGAATTTGTATTTTCAGCAAACTTTGTTGGTGTTGTTTTATGTACACTACATTTCTGTTACTGCTACTAAAAATAATTCTGATCTTTTCCTCCAATACATGAAATGATGACCTCTAATTGCAGTTATGATTATCATAGCCTTTCAGAATTGGAAATGACAATAAAATTCAACCATTCAAACCCTTCTCACGATTTGAGGGTGGAGGGACCCACTTAAAACTTTTGTTTATGTACTCAAAATTGGTAATTTTTGCAGAAATTCTTGAACCTTTTCCAAAATGCAGGCCCCTCAGTCTGTTATTTTTGGTCGCTCCCTCCCTCTGCGACTGCTCTGGCCTCTGCTTGCTCTATACATTCCTTCCAACACCAGTCACTGAAGATGTTAGCATCCCACTTCTATGGCTGCGTCTAGAAGTTGTCACAGGCTGAATGGACTGATACTTCTGAATGTATATTTGACGTCAATTACCAGTGATTGGGCCAAGTCCTTCTAGATCTCTCACTCCTTTGCCAGTATCCATGTTCTTCAAATTCACAGTCTTCCAATCTCTTTTGTTTTTTCAATCTCTTTTGTTTTTTTTTCCAATGTCTTCTGTTCTCCCAATTTCAGGAAAGCCACTTTTAGGCACTGTTTTATTTCCATTCAAGAGATCATGTCATTGAACATGTCAATAATGCTTCAAGTTAGCAGCTGATTCCACCTCCTCTAATCTTCCTTCCTAGCCTACTCTATAAAACCTCACCTCTTCCTCTTCATTTATTCATTTAGACTGAAGAAAGAGCATGGCATATATATATATGCAATTAAGCATAAGACCATGGTGTTCAAATTCAGCTGGAGCTAGCTCAAAAGTACTTTTATTTCTTTTTTTTCCCCTCTCAATAGCCACTACAAAATTTCAGCAACAAACTTTCCACCTACAACCCCTTCTGACTCTCAGCAAACAAACTTAACTTCCTGCACTTAGGGATAAATTATCATCATCAGTAACCATGTTTCTTTCCATTCAGCTTGTTTAGGCTCCAAATAAATCCTTCCTTCTCCTCAGGGTCCTTTTTATTTCAACCACTCTATCACAAATTTGCTGCTTCACTGTGTTTTAACACTTCTGACTCCTTCCTCTCAGCATGTACATACGCAGCTACACTAATTGAGCACCAATCTTGTGATATATGTTCCTTGCAAACATTTCCCTGAAAACCCTAAAGATAGGTGTTATTATCCTAATTTTGCAGAGCAGGAGATTTAGTTTCTGTAACTTATCCAATGAGGTAAAAATAGCTAATATTAATTTAGCTCGTATTTATTAGGCACAGTTCAAATTCCTTTAAATTACAGTCATGCATTGCTTATCCCAACAGATATGTGTTCTCAAAAATGTATTGTTAGGCAGTTCTGAGATTGTGCAAACATCCTACAGTGTTCTTACATAAAACTAGATAATATGCCCTTACATCACACCTACTCTATCTGGTATAGCCTATTGCTTCTAGGTACAAACCTGCGAAATATGTTATTGTACTGAACATTGTAGGCAAGTGTAACACAACAGTAAGAATTTGTGTATCTAAACATAGAAAAGGTACAGTAAAAATGTGATATTATAATCTTATGAGACCACTGTTGTATATGAGATCTATCATTGACTAAGACATGCTTATGGGTGCACAACTTTATTAAGCAACATAATCTTCTTGTTAACCTTATTAAATAATCACATCGTTCCTATTTTATGTTTGAGGAAGCATCACCTAGTCTTAGTTAGTACCTTCTGCTCCTTTAATAGGCCAAATTCTTAAAAATACTGTTTACCTTCAAGATCCCTTCTGCTTATTTCCAGCTGGAGTGTTTGCATCAAGCCCCTTCTACTGTAACAAAAGTACAACAACAAGTATATATCCTAACTTCCAAATGTGTTATTTATCTGTCTTCTTCTAGTTACTATCTCTCCCATGCCCCCACCCCTCTTTGTTTCTTTTCTCTGTCTTTCTCCTCTTTCTCTTTCTGTTTTTCTCCTCTCTTTCTCTCCCTTTTACTCCCCCCCACCGCCCCCTTTCTCCTTATTCGCAATTCTTGGTTAGAATTACACTAATAGTGTCATAATGATCTCTGCCTCCACTTCCAATATTATTATTATTTTTTGAGACAAGGTCTTGCTCTGTCACCCAGGCAGGAGTGCAGTGGTGCAATCATGGATCACTGTAACCTCTAACTATGGGGCTCAAGCAATCCTCCCACCTCAGCCTCCCAAAGCACTGGGCTTACAGGCATCCTGAGCCCTTGTGCCCAGCCTCCTTTCATGAGTCAATACATTTATTGTCTTCAGAGTGGTTTCTTCTAAATAGGAAACATGATCATAATTTATTTGTCCATTATTTTTCCACGGGAGGATTTTGCTAAGCTCAGGATCAAATACCCTAGGAAAGCTATAAAAGGATCTGTACCCTAGTCTTTCTGAAGTACCTGCAATTATCTGGACTTGTCCTCACCTTCAATTCCATGCCCTTGCACATGCTTATTTTCATAATGTTCTCTTTGTCTTCCTTCATAACATATCACATGCACACACACTCCTACCTAGCTGACTCCTCTACATCATTCACATTTCATGATCCATCATGTGTTCATTCAAAATTTCCCCATCTAATCCCGTTATTTACAAAGCAACCTATGCATAATTTGTTCACTTTGATCACCATTTTAAATCAGAACTCAGCAGACTTTTTCTAAAAGGAGCCAGATAGTATTTTAGGGTTTGTGAAACAAAATGAGCAACTATTTTCTCAGAAATACTAATGCTTTTATAACATTTTACATATTAAAATGTAAAAGCCATTCTTTGCTCTCAACACATACACAAATAGGAAGTGGGTCAGATTTGACCAATGGATGTACTTTGCTAATATTTGTCCTAGATTATAATTGTTTTATAATATATCCAACCTCCTCCATTTTACTATGGGAATGTAGGGACTTTATCATTTATCTTTTTATTTCTCAAGATTATCCCAGTGTTTGGTACACATTGGCCAATTAGCAGATGTTAACTAATATGAAGCAAATAATAAATGATATTTAAATCTGAGTTCATGCCATGAATATAACCAACCATTTCATTTTATACAAGAATAACTTGCATCAAAAAAAAGTTAACATGGCTTATCTGTCTATAGTAAATAAAAATAATACATATTATATTTAACGATATATAATTAAAACCCTATACCAGTTGATTGCTCATATTTATTACTTTATTGAGGCAGAGACTGTGCCTTTATACTTTGGAGCATGTAGCATTGCATAACATAACTAGTAAGAATGCAATTGTTTTCATCGTGCGGGGCATAAAATGCTTTCTAACATATGTTGTATTGTTGCATCATATAAAATACTATGAAAGCGATATTGATATAAATGATGAAACTAAACACGTACAGATTATTAGACCTTTCTAATAGAACACAGCTAGAACATGGCAGAGCCAGAACACAGACCCATTCTTCTAATAGCATATACAGGACCTTCTCATTATTTATTTGCTGCTTCCATAGCAGAATGAAACATTCGCTGAACTCTCAAATGAAGATTTTTCAAAATTCATATAATATGTTATTGTCAAACCAGAGTCAAGTAAACTAAAACCAAAACATTTTGAGCCAAAGGAATATTTTTCCAAGTCTATATTTAAAGTATTGATCAGAGAATTTGACTACTATTAGTGGCCCTGAAAATGATTTTCACCTCAAGAATTAGGGCAAATTCCTTGATTAAGTTTCCGTAGTGACTCCTAATACTATCAATAACCTAAGTAACCTAAAGAGGCAAAAGAGTGTAAAAGAAAAACTGCATGGTGCAAGACGAAATGGATAATGGATGGAGCTTGACACGTAAATGCCTTTCAATTAATTTTACATAATGCATATTCCCTATGTATTCACCTATGGGAATATGTATTAGTAAGGCTGATATATATATATATGATATATTATATATGATATATTATATATTTTATATAATTCTTATATTTTTATATGTAAATATTTTATATATTTTATATAATAAATATTATTTTTATTTTGTATAATGTATATATCATATATATCATATATATTATTTATTTATGTGTGTGTATATATATGCCTTACTAATACATATCCCCATAGGGGAATATGTATTAGTATATATTAGTATGATACATATCATATATATCATATATATCTATATATATATATAAGCCTTACTTATTCCCATAGGGGAATATGTATTATATAAAATAAATATAATATATATTATATATAATATATATGAATATATGAAAATAATATATATATTATATATCATATATATTCAATTTTTGCATTTTACCTTTGATGAAAATGTAGTTTAGCTATTATTGACTATTTAAGTTCAAGTATATATATTTTCATGAACACTTTACTCTGTGCCTTTTTTTTTTACAATTTAGGTATAAATTATACACACACTTTTGGTCAATATGAATTCTATAATTCATGTGAGAAAGTACTCAACAGTTCATAGTGAAATAACCAGCATCACACTAATTATGGCACATTTTGGACAAGATGACTTAGTAGTCATTTATGGAACAGCACTAAGAGAATAACAAGAGGAATAAGTACCTAACTATGGTTGAAATAATGCAAAAGCCATCCCTGAGTTAACTAGAAACAACTTTCTTCCTAGCTTTGAATGAGATATCACAAGTCATTCAATTCCATTGAAGTTATAGCTGCAGAATGCACAAAACAAAGGTTTCCATGTTTCACGTATAAGGACTGAAAAATGATTATTCCCTTAATGTTAGAATTAATCAAAGTAAAATGCAACTAACTATTAGTAGGAAACATGTTTTAAATAGTCTGCACACAGAGATTTAAACGGATTCAAAATGATGACAGAAGTTTTTGCATGAAATAGATGATTTGTTGGTGATAATGCTGGCACTATTATGACTTTCATAAACTGCTGGAAGATAGCAGTTTCCAAGGATGATTTGATAATATAGCTGTTACATTACAATTGAAGGATCTCAAACACAAGCAATACCTGCTGTGTCATTTCCTCATATTTTAGAATTAATTCAGAAGGTGATGACTCAAACTGAATGCTTTTATAAAGGGTATTATTATCTAGTGTTGACTTTTAGACTATTATATGGATTGATTGGCCAGCTGTTATCTTTTGTACTCTGAAAAGAAGCTAAAACCTAGACGCTTAACCTCTCAAAAATCTAGAATCTAGTAAACAAATTACAAAGAGGAGAATGGTGGGCATATCTTCTCATAAGACAATTTTAATTCACAAAACATATTCAGCTACCACATTCCACCCAGTTTAATTATTGGACTAATTGTTGGACCAGCCATTTAGTCAGATGTGTTTTCTCATAAATGTTGGCATTTACCCTCAAATAATGGTAGCTACAAACTTATTATACATATATATATATATATATATATATATATATATATATATATAGTTCCAATACATCAGTGAGTAATGTTTCAACTCAAATATTTCTTGGTGTTAATGGTCCCGAACAAGGATTCTGTAGATTAAATATAATTTAGATATACAAATTAGTCATATACATGGAAACATCCTATGAATCCTTTTCCTCTTAGAAATAATTTGATAAATAGGTGGGATAAACAGGTGTGAACTCAGGAGGTGGAGTTTAGAGTGAGCCAAGATCACACCATTGCACACCAGCCCATGTGACAGTGCAAGACTCAGTCTCAAATATATACATATATATAATATCAAATTATCACTTTAATAATTTTAGCATGTCAATGTCTTTCTTTGGGGGAGCTATGTTCATGTTCCTGTTAAAGCAGGTAGTTCTGGATCTTTTCCCAGACTTCCTCTACTTTACAGAAACATATGGAAATTTTTATTACACAAAATTCTTAAAAGATAGTCTGCATTTGAAAGCACAACTGGGTGACTATAGTCAATAATAACTTAATTGTACATTTTAAAATAACTATAAGAGTGTAATGGGATGGTTTGTGACACAAAAGATAATGCTTGAGGGGATGGATACCCTATTCTCCATTATGTGATTATTTTTTATTACATGCCTGTATCAAAACATCTCATGCACCCCGTAAATATATACACCTACGGTGTACCCACAAAAGTTATTTTTTAATTAAAAAAATAAAACAACATATTGATATTTTTTTAAAAAAATAGTATAAAGCCTGGGCTCAGTGCCTCATGCCTGTAATCCCTGCACTTTGGGAGGCAGAGGCAGTAGGGTCTCTTGAGCCCAGCAGCTGGAGATCAGCCAGGGCAACAAAATAAGAACGTCTCTACAAAAAATAAGCTGTGTGTGATGGTGCACATCTGTGTTCTCGGCTACATGGGAGGCTGAGGCAGGGAGATTGCTTGAGCCTAAGAGGTCGAGGCTGCAGTGAGCCATGTTCATGCCACTACTCTCAAGCCCCAGTGAAAGAGCAGGACTCAGTCTCAAAACATAAAAAAAAAGAAAAAAAAAAAGATAGCCTGAAATCAGGATATTATTGCTGCATTATGCCTGCACATGGTTGTTGAGAAAAAGCTGAGTGTTGGGAGGAAAACTGAGGCACGGCTTGCATAAGGTCTTCTGGAATGTGTCTAGACTTGCTGGCCGTTTGCTTCTAGCCTTCTTAGGCTCTTATTCCCATTTTCTCAAGTAGCAGAACATGTTCCATATAAATGCTAAACTGTCACAGCTGTAGATCATGTGCCTGCCCTTTAGACCTCCACATTATCACCACCTGTTTATTTGTTGGATTACCAATAAATATGGTGGGCTCCCAGAGCTCAGGGCCTTCACAGCCTCCACAATGGCGATGGCCCCCTGGTGTCCCACCTTTATCTCTCAAACTGTCTTTTTCTCAATCCTTTGACTCCACTGGACTTTGTCACCCCCAAGACCTGGTGTTGGATCTGATCAACCCAACACTTGGTGATTTAAAACAAAAATGACTGAGAGGGGTGGATAATGAGAGTTAAGTTAATGGATATAAAATTATAGATAGATAGGTGGAATAAGTTCAAGTGTTCAATAGCACCATAGCGAGAATATATTTAAAAATAATTTATTGTGTACTTTCAAAAAGATAAAGGAGATTTCTAATGTTCCAAACACACACAAAATAGATACATATTTGAGGTAATGGATATGTTAATTACCTGATTTGATCATTACCCATTGTATAAATGTATGGAAATAACACTGTGTAGCCCATAAATATGTACAATTACTATGCATCAACTAAAAATAAAAGGAAAACAAGAGCTGAAAATAGTTCATGTGAACAAGATAAAAACATTTTACTGCTTCAGCTCTTTTGACTAACCATTACCGTTCCCAAGAGAGAATCATTAAGTCTGGTAATTTATAGCTGAACATTCTCTTTTGAACCCTACATCACTTTCTATTTAGAATTAATTTGTTGAAACATGCATGATGGAGAAGATGGGGAAACGGGCAAAGGTACTGATTAGAAATTTCCCAACTACTCTTTTGAGTAAATAGAATATGTTCGTGACCTCTTTCATTTATATCGTAATAAAACATGTATTTCTCTTATTTGGAGAAATTTTAGATGAATTCTTTTTTTAAGTTTTTTATTACAGCACTTTTGGCAATGCTATCCTTGAGTCTTGAGGTTCTCATTAATGGAGTCCTAAGTGAATCAATATATTATTAAATTATGTCAAAATATGATTATATCAAGGCTAGTATATACAGGCAAATGTATGTAAGCAAATATATATTATTTGGAATTAATTATATTCTAGTGTCCAAAAAGTCTATTAAAACATTTTATGTAGGCTAGTAAGTACCAATTTAGTCACAAAAATGATAATTTTTAAACATTAGAAATCATATGAAATCAAAGAGATTTTTAAGTAGGCGTAGAAAAAACACATTTCCTCAAAGAGAACAACAGCAATTACATATTTGAAAATATTTAAGACATTTTTGTTGTAATTAGCAAATTTTGCTGTTTGCATTTCACAGGACGCTCTAACAACTCTTCTTGAACAATGAACACACAGTGTTGAAAACCATTCAGGAAGCCAGTTAGAGCCCATCAATTGGGGTGATGCTGGAAATACATGACAGGAGAGCCAAAGCCCTTTATTTCAGCTCTGTCCTAATACTTGTCAACTAAGAATAGTAGTTTTATGTATAAATATACAGGCAAGAAGTTGGAAGGTGGGGACATTAAAGAGAAAAAACAATAGTTTATATTTCTTTGTAATTAAGAAATAATATATATTCTTATATATGTTTATATAGAAGACATATATATTATTTTTCAAATATAATTTTTTAAATCTACTATCTCTATATGCTTTTAAACATAATACAAAATAAATATCTCTTCAATCTCAAATCAGTTCCAAATTACTAATGCTACTTTAAGATTCTGATGTGTAACATTTTAAATGTGTGAAATGAATTTATTTAAAAATTTCTCTATAGAAATAGACTTAAAATCTATTTCTCAGAAAAATCTCTCCAGTAGTGTTAGTTTATTGGCAATATTTTACACCTTCAACTATAATAATAATGATAAGTTCATTTCATTTTATTTTTCAAACACAATTTATGGCAATGCAGATTTACTCTTATCAGGAATCGGATGCCAAAGGACAGGAAAGAACGAGGTTGAAAGAGGATTCAAGAAGGTACTATAGATTTATTGAAATAAAAGCCAAAAGTTGAATCTGATAGGGAAGACAAAGTAAAAGCTTTTGGAAAGTAATTGTTTGGGACCTGTCAAGTCTACTTAAGTAGACACGAGTAAATGGTTACACTGTAATTAGATTCATAAACAAAACCCAAAATGCAGGAAATAAAACTAAGACTGAGAGAATGCATAGCAATGAGACGTGCATGCTGTTGGATGTTAGAGGGACCACATCAGTCTCTGGGCAATGGCAAGGACAGAAACCAAAATAATTATGTTGCAAAAAGGAAGTTGCTAATTGAGGCAGACATCCAATAGCCACTCACCTGATTATATTTCTTTGCTAGCAGATTCATAATACCATGAGCTTTAGGGTAGGTTGAGTCTTTCCATAGCTTCAGAGGTGAATCTAGATTATTATTCGTAGGCCAATCATGATTATTATATTTCCCTTTCCTATCTTTGGTTTACAAACAGACAAAAGCTAAGATTCATTAATTAGTCACATTGATACAGACAGGAGGCAGAAGGACAAGGACTCTGGTGAGGGCTCCAACCTCAAGTCTGGACCCGTGGCCCTAAATGAGAACAGGCATTCCTGCTTTCATGCCCAAATACTGTCTTCTGGCTCACCACGCACCACCACCCCTCCCCTGCCCATAATGTGCCCATATAAACCCCAAGCCCCAGGCACCATGAGCAGAAGAGTGGTAGAGTGGCACAGGAGAAGAGTAGGGTGGCAGAGAAGAAAAGAGAGAAAGCATCTGAACATCAAGAGGAGTTTGTCTGGAGGTCTGAGAAGAAATCTGCCTTAGGATGGCCGAACTCCGGGGGAAGATCATTTTCCCACTCCATCCCCTCTCCAATTCCCCATCCTGCTGAAAGCCACCTCCATCTCTCAATAAAATCCCTGCATTCACCTTCCTTCAAGTCCATGTATCCTGATTCTTCCTGGACGCAGGAGAAGAATTCAGGATGCACTGGGTGCGGGAACCCAAAAAGGCTGTCACACTGACTCTTCACTGAGCTGCTTAACACTTAAGCTGTTACCGGATGACAGGGCTAAAAGAGCATTGTAACACCCCGAGACACTGCCGTGGGGTTGAAGCCCCAAAGCGCTCGCCCCAGCTCCTGTACCTGCTCACCTGTGTGTTCTCTCTCCCATAAGGGGTTTGAGCCCAGCCAAATAAAAAAGACACACCCCAGTTGCCCATCTCACAAGGGGGTCAGGAAACTCTCCCGTTTCAACATGACCTCTAAAATATATACATATACGCAAAAATCTTTATATATGAACAATTCTATTAAACTTCAATATAAATAAGGGTTAAATGAAGCTATAATATGGAAGTATTTTAAAAGACTGGGCTGGGTGAGGTGGCTCATGCCTGTAATCCCAGCACTTTGGGAGGCCGAGAAGGGAGGATCACGAGGTCAGGAGACCAAGACCATCCTGGCTAACACAGTGAAACCCCGTCTCTACTAAAAATACAAAAAATTAGCCGGGCGTGGTGGCAGGCACCTGCAGTCCCAGCTACTCGGGAAGCTGAGGCAGGAGAATGGTGCGAACCCGGGAAGTGGAGCTTGCAGTGAGCTGAGATTGCACCACTGCACTCCAGCCTGGGCGACAGAGACTCTGTCTCAAAAAAAAAAGGCTGCTGCATTATTTCATTCGCAAATAATTAAACCTGCTTCTTGCTTTCCAGAATAATAATGATTTTTGAGACTTTTTAGCAAATTAAAAACTTTAAAAATATTAACGACTGTTATTAAAATCCATATGTGGTTCATGTATATTTATGTACACATTCTAAAACTTTTACATATGCAGATCAGAATACATAATTAGATAACCCTTTTAATTAAAATGTGGAAACACAATATATATGTACACACAAATATCTGCATTGAACTCCAATGTCAATCCCTTCGGGAAAGAATAAAGAAGATAAAAATTGAAGTTATCAGTGACAAGTAAGGTACAAACCAACTTACTATGTTTTTGTCTGTCTCCTTTTTTCTGTGAAACAATAGCAACAGAAAATGTCAAGAAATAGATAAAACGAATGTTCGTTTTGATACTTAGTGCCACCATACTGATTAAACAGAATGCTGTATTTACTTGTGTAATTGCTGCCCTTTTCTTTCTTGCTTTGTAAGCTGCTCGATTCAAATTAACCTATACAAAAATCTACAGACAGCAATTACTCAATAGTGAACAATATGTGAGTAAATATGGTAAATGAAGCAAAACACAGTACTGTACATATCAGCAAAGCACAAATAATGTGCTGAATTGTAAATTCTGAAGCAGAGATAAAAAGGAAAAGATTCAGGACCATGAGGTGTAGGTAATCAGTTTTCATGTACATTTGTAGGACATGTGGCAAACTTACCACAAAAGAATAATTTTTAGTAATCAACACTCAACTTCATATGGAGCATAAGAGAGTGAATGTTTCCCATCCTTCTTTGGCTTTGAAAACTGATTCTTCTGCATGAATTAATTTCTACACGTTAAATAATTAATTTGAAGAGATGACAACCATAATTTAAATTCATTCCTAAATATCGCCTACACTCTTAAAAATAGAAACACTTGTATACAGAAATACATTAAAGCAACAAGCAATAAATGATGATCATTTTTAACACTAACTGCTCCATTTTTAACAACAGGAATAAATACAAAATTAGGGTATATAATAACAAAGAATGTACTGAAAGCAGGCAGACCTCCAGGAAGTAAAATCCACTAACATTCCCTGGCTCTGCCTGTCTTGCAGCCTAAAATTCTTCAATGATGCATACCCCTTTTCTCAAAATCACATTATAGCATCTCATTTTCACCTCAGCTCTAAAATTCCTTTAATCACTAAGTTTAAAATATTAATAGACATTCACACTGTGCTTTGGGTGAAGACTGTATTTTCTGCTATTTAAATAAGAATAAAAATTATGCATCCCCATTATTGCTATGGCAAGTGAATTTTTGTGAAATCAAAGCTGTTAGGAGGTCAGTGGTTCACAGAACTCCCACTCAATTTTTACCTTGTCTTAAAAAAAAATGAAACACAAATACAACACTTATTTTATAAGATAACATAGGTACAATGAGCATCAGCTCTTATGAATTGAAAAAGTCTTATTTATCACATTCTGAGTCATCCTTATATTTAACCGTATCTTTAATATTATCTTTTATGTTTTGTTTGTTTAAAGTAAGCACTCAGTAATGTGATTAACAGAAATGTTTTATGGCTGTCTTTATCAAGGCATAAAGATTTTCTGTTTCACGTTTTTAATACTTTGTCTTGGTTTGAGTCCATTCATTACAATTTCAAACTGAAAACCTGGAAGAAAAAAAATATGCCCTGATTTTGCCATGGAGCATATTATGTGTTTTGCTCCAGAGGAGTAGTTGGGGCTATAATTTTTTTCCCCCATGGGACATACAAATAGAAATTCTACAAATTTCATCATCACTTCACCCCATGTTCTCTATGGAAATTACATAAGTTACCTATGTCCCATTTGTCATTTTCTCATGCATTCTTTTCTAAGACAAAAGGTAGAACTAAATATAACATATATTTTACAGATCAATGACTGTGACACATATTTCAGAAAATACTATCCACCTACAGATGGGTAAGTAGATGCATCTATAAAGTCAAGAGTGTATTAGAAGTTACTTGTAATTTTAGTGCAGCAAAAGTTTGAGAGAAAATTGAGTATCAGTGTAAACATGTAGAATGGCAAGCAGTTTTTCTCCCCTTCACTGCTTTCTTCTAAAAAGATTCCAGGAAGAAAACTTGGCCCTAACTGTAACTTGGTCCTAAGTGTCATAACTGGAATCTCTCCCCACTGTGAAAACCTTTTAATCCCTTGAAGCTTTGGCAAAATTTGTTATCAACTTTTTGGTTAAATATGTGGTTTTTCAAACTGTGTTCCTGAGGCGAAAAACACTAGTACATCTCCTACAAGCTTGTCAGAAATACAAATTCATAAACCCCGCCCCTGACCTACGGAATCAGAATGCCCGTGGATGGAGAATATCAGAAATCTGGCTTTGAAAAAACTCTCCAGGTGATTCTGAAGCACACCAAAGTTTGAAAACCATTGATTTAGTAGATACCAAGTTTAATGATAAAAAGGCAGGTTTATTATTAGTAGTTGTAGTTATACTCGTCATATTTCTATAACAAGGCCTAAGATACTTTTTGCAGTTACACAATACATATGAAAAATAAGGAAAAAAATCTAGGTGGCAACTGTCCTAATATGATA
Source organism: Homo sapiens (assembly GCF_000001405.40). NCBI lineage: Eukaryota > Metazoa > Chordata > Mammalia > Primates > Hominidae > Homo > Homo sapiens. The sequence continues at coordinate 85,419,652 of NC_000003.12, read as the reverse complement.
GAAGTTTGTAGGAGTAGGGAGAAGAGAAAAATGGGTCTCTTTATTCCATCTAGCTTAAGCTTCTTTTATGCAAGCTTCAAATATACAAAAACAAAGATGGTCTCTCAAACATGGTTTTATAGAATATGTGTAACCCAAGAATAGCAGCACATATTCGTGGTTCACATCTTTCACTGCAATTTTTTTTTTTTTTTCGAGACGGAGTCTTGCTCTGTCGCCCAGGCTGGAGTGCAGTGGCGCGATCTCCGCTCACTGCAAGCTCCGCCTCCCGGGTTCACGCCATTCTCCTGTCTCAGCCTCCTGAGTAGCTGGGACTATAGGCGCCCGCCACCACGCCCAGCTAATTTTTTTTTGTAATTTTAGTAGAGACGGGGTTTCAACGTGTTAGCCAGGATGGTCTTGATCTCCTGACCTCTTGATCCACCCATCTCGGCCTCCCAAAGTGCTGGGATTACAGGCGTGAGCCACCACTCCCGGCCCTCACTGCATGTTTTATTCAAAGAATGTGGTCAATGTTGTGCAATGAGTGGCTAGTCTAAATGAGTTAGACCAGTCTGGACAATGTGGAAATATGAATCTTCATAAATCAGGGCAGTTTAAACCAGCAGGCCACAAAATTGCTGAGTGTACTTATTTGGGCTCTCTTTGAACTTTCTGTTCCCAACCCTTCTCATTTTTTTTTCCCCTCTCAAAATGAACCAAACAAGCTTTAAAAATTAGAAAGGTAGGTCAAATATAGCCATAATATTGAGAAAAAGTATAGATGGATAAATTCCATTTAACTACTATAATTAAATGGTTACTATCTTCACTTCTAAATTATCAGAAAAGAAACTGCTTTGTGTGACCACTTCATAATACCCAGCTCCCATTGCAAAAATTAACTTGAAGGAAATGAGAGTGAAGTATACATGTAAAATCTGAGTTTATTTATTTTGTTACTCTATTTATGAATGTTTCAATAGACACAAGAATTATTCAACTTTTTGGAGATTTTAACAATTTACCTATTTTTCTTTTAAATAAAATGTGATTTAGAAAGCATGATACACCTAAAAAAATATAATGTAACTAAGAGAAACATAAAAAGTTATTGCATTCATTAATCGTTGGATGAAACCTTGAACTATAATAGACCTTGGAACATTTGCCATAAGAAACTTAAGTAACATTTGCCTGTATTATTTTTTTTAATTAACAGGCTTTATTTTTTGAGCAGCTTTAGGTTAATAGAAAAATTGAGCCAAAAGTAGAATTCTTGTATCATCTCTTAGCCCCACCAAGTTTCTCCTATTAATAGCTTGCATTACTGTGATATAGCTGTTATATCTGAGGGACCAAAATTGATATATTATTATTAACTAAAATTCATAGTTTACATTAGGGTTCACTTTTTGTCTTGTAAATTCTATGGATTTTGACAAATGTATGATAGGTAGCTACCATTACTTTATTATGCAGAATAACTTCACTGCACTAAATATTTCCTGGACTGGCATAATTTTAATTTATATTATACTGGTAAAGACAGTTCAAAATCAATTTAGGAAAGGCATAAGAGATGTTCGAGGCTTGATATTTACTGAAAAAACAAATAATGTTTATAATAAAACTTGTATTTATTATTTGAAAATATATAACCGTGTGGTATAGCTTTGGTTCCAGTACCTTCCTACTTAAAGTATGTCTAAGGAACCAGCAACATTGATACTTATACTTCCTAGAAGCTTGTCAAAATTGCAGCATCTCAGATCCATCATAGACCTTCTAAATATGAACTTTCATTTGACCAAGATCCCTAGGTTATTCTTGGCAAATTAAAATTTAAAAGCACTGCTCTAGACCAGCACAGTATCTGGCCTTGTACTTATAGAATATTAGAGTTTAAGGGAGTTCAGAAGTAATCTAGTCCAACTTCTCTGACTTTTGATTGAAGAATCTGTATAAGACCTTTATACCCTTAAAGGTTTTTTGAAGATAATAACCAGGTCATCTTTCTTGCTATAAATAGCACCTGCCTGGTAACTTCCAGCAACCGTTAGTTTAAAATAATTAAACAGCTATGTGATAGATGGATAAAAGTTGCATGGCTAACTAATCTAAAAGCTAGTAATAGAATCCCCACCTCTTTTAACCATTCTATTCTGCCTACATTTGATTAGGTCTTGTGACTTTCTTAACATAGGTTGGTGACATCGTTTAAAATATAGACAACTGAAAATCCCAAAGAAGAGCCAAGTACTGGTGTTGGGCCTCGATTCGTGTTTGAATATGAGTGAGTTGTGTGCAGGGTACATTTCAGGAGGTGGTGATAGCAGTAGCATAGAAACTGGAGTATAAATGAACAAGTATAAAACAAACTTCAGGATTTCCAAACAGGATTTTGTAGAGTAAATTTAGTAAATTTCCAAATCGGTTTTGTCTAAATACTCTATGCAATAAGAAATAGCTAGAAAGAAATAAATGGGTACAAAATGTAACTCCATATGACTTAAAAATTTAAAACCCAAAGCTTTACCTTTTTTTAATCCTTACTGCATTTTATAAAGTTTTTTTTAAGCTTTTCAATTAGCTACATAATTGAACATTTTTCTACATGTTAGGATATAATCATCTCATGCTGAATCTCAAATTTGACATGCATATCACAGATTTTCATAATCAGAGACTTTATTTGAATAAAGCACAATTGAAAAAGCTGAGATAGTCAAAAATAAAGATTCACCCTATTTTTTACTATTCTCATTAAGATCCACATAGCATAGTCAAGATAATGAGACAGAGATATAGGACTTTTCCCTGATACAATTATTTAGCTCCAGAATTGTTCATTGATGATAGTTTTAAGAACCATATACCTCTTCCTAATATCCATATTTCATACATATGTGTATACATATAGACTTATAATGTGATACATATCATGTACTAGAAGAAACAAATTTCTGCAGGCATACTTTTGTGAAATTTTTTTCGTATTCCAGGCTTGTCCCTAGTCCCCACACAATTTATCTTGGTTGCTGTAAACAGCACTCTGGCTTCTTTGTTCTCATTGCTTCTTTGGAGTGGGGGCATTAGGGACAAAGCAACGTCCTCAACATAAATGGCAATTTAAGATCACTTCTAAAATGCATAGGGCAAGTTCAAAAGCCCTTTTCTGTTGTATAAGTCATTGTGATATGTAAATTTTTTACGTTTTCTAATATCCCTTGAAAATGTAAACATATTATTCTTTATTTCAAAGGATCTCAGGTCTTCTGCCACTAACAGTATCGAAACTTTTAACTAAAAGATCTTGTTATTGTATAAATAAATATAATTGTCTTTGATTATCTTTGTGTGAAAGGCCATCATCAAAAGAATAAGAGAGATCAGTAATTAGGATATTTTAAAATATATCAGTCCTTACTGTAAATAGACTACCTCCCTCTAATATCAAAAACTCTGGAAACAGGTTTGTTGGGTTATTTACTTTTAAACAACTGAGCTTTATTCACATTACAAAAGAATACAATTTTATTTTGTAGCATAAGGTTCATCTAGCTATTTTATAGAAAAATATAGGAAAAGTTAAATTTTTAACAAAGAAATGTTTTGGTATAAAACCTCAATATTTTTTATGATCATCTGTCCTCTGGGGAGTTCTATTTTAATTCCTTAGCTTCTAAATTGCATTGGCATTACTATGATGTTGCTTAATCTACCATGAAATGTCACAGTAAATAATATATTATACACTGCTCCCCCCACAAATTTGCAATAATTAAATATTCTTGTTGCTTTATCCCTAAGAGAAAGTATAATATATTTATGCATGATGCTGACAACACAACTCTCCCTTACAAGCTTTGATCCTACTGCAGATGAGTTTTAAATCCCTTATTTGTATACAAATCATAACTTTAAAATCAATGCATGAGGCAAAAATTTTGTTTGAAGTACATAGTTTGTATTCACAAATGCAATTAATAGCTCTCATGAACTTGTGCTATAAAATGTGCAATGTTAGGAAAATCTTGTAAAGTGCATTTACATTTCTTTTCAAGTATACTACTGCTAATTTCATATGCAATCCAGAGGAAAAGTACCTGAAGAATCCATATAAAACAGTTGTTTTTTATCAACTGTTTTATCTTGTCATTTCATTTGTAGAGACAAAGAACATTAGGGCAACGGTTTACTTAGATCTTTTTCTCATTGAACTCACTATTTCTAGGCTAGTTTTTTTTTTTTGGCAAAAGCTGGCACTATTCGTACTTTCATCAGAATCACTTTGAGTGTATATTAAAAATGAAAATGCAAATTACTAAACACACTTAGACTTCTTTGATCAGAATTCCCGAGTAGGGGAACCCGGAAATATATTTAAACCAACTAGGGGCAATTCTTAAGTCCACGAAATTTGAGAACTATAGTCTTAGAATTCATAAGTAAATGCTTATTAAATATTTTGTGCCAAATATGTCTTTCTGTATTTTCTGAAGATACAAAGTTTAAGCAAATTATTTACATATATACAGTTAAATACAAGCATTATAGTGGAGGCAACACTTTATATAGCAAAGTCTCAGCGGTTTAGAATAAGCTTCTTTAGAATTATTTTTCATACCAAACTTCCTGGTCACATGACGGAGGCATTTGCACTTTAAAAGTTTCTTTCCATTTTGCGTGATTTACTTTTTTAAACTAAAAATCCTATGAACAATTTACCATAATTTTTCAGGCTAATAATAAGAATTTCAGCTGAAGAGTCAAAAGTCTCTCATATATAAACTAGATACTTTATGTTTGAAGGAGAAATAACATTTTCACTCCACCCCTTCCCGCATAACACATAGGCAGAAAGAGGGAAGTTTCAGAAATTTCCAAGATATGTCAGTCAATGTAAAGTAAAGTTTGAATGGAAATGTAAAAAGCTTGAGGTGGTTGCAAAAATCCTTGGGGGAGCTGGTAAAGTGCTTATTAGAATAATCAGCTTAAAAATTCCTTGATAAGAATTTAAATTGAAAGTTTCCCCTGGATTGCTTAGCCAGCAGAAAAAAACTGAAACTGGGGGATTGAACACTAATCATTTAGATAGAAAAATAAAATAAATGTTTAAAAAAAATCAACTTGTATTGGTTGAAAGAGAGAGAGAGGAAAGGAAACCTAAAATGAAGTTGGTGCTTCCACCCACAAACTCCAGTTCCACTAATAATAAATATTTTACTGTGCATGTCAAAACTACATACTTGCTATGACCATTTAAAGGACACACTACATGTTTCTAAAATGTTATTTCTCTCGATTATTTTTTTCTTCCTTATGAAAGATTTACATAAATTTCTGCAGTCTAGTTTTGCTTATTATTGTCTCTTTTCGGAGTCTTTGGTTTTGTTAAAGACGATTTTGTTAATTAACTGAGGAATTATAAACAGAAGAGATATCGTAAAGAACAGTGTTTGATCAGCTATGATCACACATTAATGTCACAAATAAATTAATTCATCAGGCCGGGCATGGTGGTGCACCCTTGTAATCCCAGCACTTTGGGAGACTGAGGCGGGTGGATTACAAGGTCAGGAGTTTGAGACCAGCCTGACCAACATGGTGAAACCTTGTATTTACTAAAAACACAAAAATTAGCTGAGCGTGGTGGCACAGGCCTATAATCCCAGCTACTCAGGAGGCTGAGGAAGAAGAATCGCTTGAACCCTGGAGGCAGAGGTTGCAGTGGGCCCAGATCCCACCACTGCACTGCAGCCTGGGCAACACAGCGAGACTCTGTCTCAAAAAAAAAAATTAAAATAGCTAGCCAGTTTTCTAGCTAGCACTTAAAGCTGTGAGACACAGTATTGTGTTTCTATACTGATACTGTTTACATCTGTGTCCCCACCCAAATTTATGTCAAATTGTAATCCCCAATATTGGAGGTGGGGCTTGGTGGAAGGTGATTGGATCGTGAGGGTGGATTTCCCCCTGTGCTGCTCTTGTGATAGTGTGTGAGTACTCACAAGATCCGACTGTTTAAAAGTATGTGGCTCCCTGCCGCCCTCTCTTTCTCGTTCTCAGCCCTTGTAGACGTTCCTGCTTCCCCTTCCCCTTCTGCCATGATTGTAAGTTTCCTGAGGCCTTCTCAGAAGCCACTATGCTTCTTCTGCAGCCTGCAGAACCATGAGCCAAATAAACCTCTTTTCTTATAGATTACCCAGTTTCAGGTATTTCTTTATAGCAGTATGAGAAGAGATCAGTACATATATCAACATGTATGCATCAAATGGAAGCCCCTCTACCAATGCTTTCACTATTTTTGCCCACTTTATTTCCTTTCAGGTGTACTTTTCTTCATTTTAGTGATATGCACAAAGGAAAATATGTTTGTTTCTGAATGTGTACCTATATAATGTATATGTGTACTGAAAAAAGTGAATTGTTATTGTTAATAAACTGTGAAGAAAATTTGTACTGGGTCAGAAAGCTTCCAGTGTATTATTATTATTATTATTATTATTTTTTTTTTTTTTTTTTTTTTTTTGAGACGGAGTCTTGCTGTCGCCCAGGCTGGAGTGCAGTGGTGCGATCTCGGCTCACTGCAAGCTCCGCCTTCCGGGTTCACACCATTCTCCTGCCTCAGCCTCCCGCATAGCTGGGACTACAGGCGCCCGCCACCTCGCCTGGCTAATTTTTTGTGTTTTTAGTAGAGACAGGGTTTCTCCGTGTTAGCCAGGATGGTCTAGATCTCCTGACCTCGTGATCCGCCCGCCTCGGCCTCCCAATGACTTCTCAAATGGCTATTTTTAAAATCAGCATTTTAATAAGGAAAATTCATAACTGTCCTAAAGCCCATGACTACATATTTTCAAATTATACATAATTGTAGTGTGATGCATTTTGCTAGTTTTCTGTACTATGTTACCTTAAGCAAGTTTCTTACTTTCTATTAATCCCATTTTTAAAATTGTGCATTATTCTTTTTGTTTTATTTTCAATAGGATGATAATTTTGTAGCAAAGGATACTCCTAATCTTTATTAGCGCTCCACTTGTCCCTTTATTAGAGGCTGTATGTATCCAGTTGATGTAACCATGACTTTTCTATTAGTTGGTAATGCAAAAGCATGATACAGAAAAAAAAAAAAACGAATTACATAGGACCTAGGATACCTTAGTTTTGGTTTTGGCATAAATACAAACTGGTCATATGCCATCAAGAGAATTCACCTTACAGCTTTTATTGGTGACCTTCTGTCCCAAAAAACTGTAATTGTAAATTTCTACAGTTAAGTTACTATATATTGTCAATTTTCACTTATTTGGCAATAGAACTAATTATTATAAGAAAACACATTAGAAATAGTGAAATACTATTTATAGATATTGTCCCAGGCATTATCTCCTATACTTTTTACAGTAATCCATTTGAGAGGTAAGTAAATTGAGATTCAATACATATCAAGAAAATTACCCATGATCCACATTTCCAATAACATTATTCTGATTCAAATTCTATATATGTGTAAGGCTTTTCAAAGAAATTATGATGTGGGCCCGGCATGTTGGCTCACTCCTTTAATCCCATAACTTTGGTCCGCTAAAGTGTGGGCAGATCACTTGAGGTCAGGAGTTCAAGACCAGTCTGGCCAACATGGCTAAACCTGGTCTCTACTGAAAATATAAAAAATAGCTGGGCATGGTGGCATATGGGTGTAATCACAGTGACTTGGGAGGTTGAGGCAGAAGGATAGCTTGAACCTGGGAGGCAGAGGTTGCAGTGAGCTGAGATCACTCCAGCTTGGGTGAAAGATTGAGACCCCATCTCAAAAAAATAAAACAAAATTATGATATGACATCGTTCATGAAATGATGCTTTTAATCTAAATTTGGTGGCATAACAAACTCCTCAGATCCCATTTTGCATAACTTCTCAACTCTGTCTTTCGTAAGGTCAATTTGTTAGCTTGAAATAAACCTTGGTGGTGTTTTTAAACCATGGAAACTGGGTAATCCAACAAATTAGAGCCTCCTCTACCCTTCAGAAAACCAGTTCCTAGTCATTTACCAACATTTGGGTTTGGTATAAACTATGATTGTTACGCTGTTCAGTAGGGAAATCTGTGACATTTTTATCAAAGATATTTTAATACTAATCCACGATTTGGTAATCACTTTCTCCGTAAAGAATCATCCCACTTATTTAAATGGGTGTATTTTTAATCAATTAATTAATAAACTAAAGTATACTGAACTTTCATTAATCTTCATTTAAAATGGTACTAGCACTATAAAAGTTATAAGATTTGAAATTTTTATTAACATTTAACTCAGCAGGTGAAGTGCACAAGGTTTGTTGGGATTTTCAGTCATGTTCATGAATGCTACTGCAGCTCAGTACAAATCCATCTTTCTCTAGTCCTGTGTTAGCTTCCTAAGCCTTTATATACTCTAATAAGACCCCTAGAGTAACCTCTTTTCTGAAGTCATATTGCTTTTTCACTCTATCAGCCACCACACAATAGATCAGTTTACAACAGCATGTCTTCATCGTACCACGTCAAACTCTATATATAACCTACAGTAACACATTTTCAAAGACAGAATGCATTTTTGTACTTCAGAGTGCACTAGTCAAAGTATGGCTTAAATACTTATTCTTTCTATTGGAAAATGACACCTTTGCATCCTTTGAATAGGATGTTGTTAATCGGGTTATTGGCCTACCCAATTTTGTCTACCATTAGAAGTAAACCGTTCCACCAGTCCTCACATAGGTCACTGGATCTCTTGTTTGAGGCTGTCCATCCATTGTGGTTGTGCCTCTTTCTTTTTCTACCTAATTTAGACTCTTTTTCAGCAGAATCATTATAATTCTCCTGCACACTTATTTATTTTCTTTCACTATCACCTACAAAGAGCTTTCAGTGGTGATGCACTTCAGTGTCCCTAAAACATTTTGTTTCCTCTTTTCACTCCAAATTGCCTTTAGCCAATAACTTGTTGTAGCTTAAAGTATTCTGCTCTAAAAGGAGTTTAACTCTTTTTAACTGTTTCGGCAAAACTCAGACCTCATGTAATTTTACTAGCTTGTTTAATCCAATTCTTTCTATTTTAAAGCCAAATCCTTTTTAAAAAATCCACAATTACAGTAGAAAATATCAAATTATAGAAGAGATAGATCTTAGTGCCTATACAAATTACACACAAATGGCAAATATGGTCTGAATGAGCTGCACGAGAAAAATCAGCACGTAATATACAAAAAAGGAAAAGGAGAGATAGGTTTAAAATGGAAATGAGTTGATAATCTGGTATAATGCTCAAGAGTGAATTTACCTAATAGTCTCCCTAATGCTAGAGGAACACTAGATTAGTTTAGCATGACTCTGGCATAAACATTCTCTAAAAGTCATGCAATAAGAATTAAAATTCACAAGTCTTGGGATATGATATGCCTTAGTGGCGATATGCATATGAATACAAACACTTATATAAGGAATTATTTTAACTAGGATTTGAAATGAGAGAATAAATTGAAATAGCTCTGTTCTACATTTTCTAACCGCTGGACCAAACTTGGCAGCCTGTATTCCTTTCTTCCTTTATGTATCAAGAACTAATGATTAACCAGGGAGGATGCAAAGAGAAGGAATCATCAGGCAGGAAGCAGAAAAGGTATAACTATAGAGAATACTCAAGAGTTGTCAGTAAGGCAGAATTTGAATGTAAATCTGTTCAGGAAATGAAACCAGATGTCAATATTAACAGATTTTTGTACTTTCAAACCTACCATCCATTCTTGATTTTGAGTTTTTTTCCTGAAATATAGTTGTTTCAGGTAGAAAATTTGGGGCCATCTAACTTCTGCTATACTTACATCTTTCACATCTAGTGACAGGGTTCAATCAATTCAATGTTATAAATACGTCTTCATTCAATTTTAGTGCCTTCATTAAAAGTGACTTTATCATCTTTAATCCAAGTTAAGACAGCAGTCTACTAACAGGTCTCCTGCCTCCATTCCCTTCCCTTGCTATTATCCTCCTCCAGTACGCTTTCAAAATTAGCCCTTTAAAATTCACGTTGGATCATATGACTTTCTATTTGATGTCCTTGGTGATTCATTATCTGTGGCAATATAAAATTTGAATTTCCTGGTATAGCACAGAAAGCTCTTCACAACATGGCCCCTGACCATATCTCTGCATTTTTACCCTTAGTCAACTGGCAAACTTCTTAGTATTCCTTAAGACTCAACTCAAATATCCCTTTATTTGATTTCAGTACTTAATATGATGCTGACCAGAAAAATTCCCATTTTATTTTCTCAATTTCCCTAAATATAATCTCATAATATTAGCTATACTCTTCTTTTGGAAGATGATAAAGAGCATTTGGGATTTAGTGTATACACAAATTACACAAAAAGGCAAGTACATTGGAATGAGCTGTATGAGAAAAATCAGCACATAATACACAAAAAAGGAAAGAAGAGATAGGTTTAAAATGGAAATGAGTTGAAAATCTGGAATAATGTTTAAGGATGCATTTACACTAAAGTCTCCCAAACGCTAGAAGAACACTGGATTCATTTGGCATGACTCTGGCATAAATGTAAGTAAACCACAATGAAGTGAAGTATTTCACTACTGAGAATGTAGTGAAATATTTGTCTTAAAATGTCAAAAGGACTTCTGGAGAGCTTGCAAACATTAAATTGCCATAATGTAGTTTTTTTTTAGATTAAGCCACAAACTGTGTGTTAGTTTATAAGAGAAAGTGACACATTGGCTTTAATATTTTGCCCTTGTTTATTTGTAAACTTTATGGAAAGATTATTGTATTTTTTACTTCTCCAAATAAGACTATGGTGGCATCTAAGTGAAAATGGTACTTCTTCAAGGAGTTTTCAAATATGTTTGCTCCTTCAGATGTGAGGGAAAATTAAAAAGAAAAAGCACATGTCCTTAAGATACAAAAGAAGGCCTAACCCCCGCTGCAGAGAGAGCATCTCCGACTTTAGTGCACTGCTCAGAATAAGAGGGATATCTCTGTCACTTAGATAGCAGTTATGTGTTTACATTTTTGACACTAGGAATTGTGGGAAATCTAACTCATTGGGTGGCAAAAAATAGAACATATCTCTATAGTTTGTATGGTAGTTGCTACGCAATTTCACTCCTTCTGCTTTTGCAACATCAAAACTTAACAAATTCTGAAGTTTTAGAACAACTGGTTCATGCAAGATACCCAGAGTTTCAAAAAAATTAATTTTTCATCCATTCCAGAATTAGACTAGTCATCGTCAATTATTACCTACCTGGCTTTTATGTTGAAGTTCCTATGCATTTACTATTCATCAAATTGGACACTTATTTTTTAGTCTTTTCTTCTATGTACATGTAAGTCCACACATACCTACATTTACTGCGCTGAATCCTTCCATTCTCTTTAGAAATGTGTTGTCTCATTCATCTGGAAGAAAATATTGCTGAACTATTATCCACTCTTGCCTTTACCTCAAAATTTTCCAAAGCACAATCTTTTCTTGCTATCTATACTTCAATATTTCAGTTTCACACTTCAATTCTAGTATCTTATTTTTTAAATAAAATTATTGCTGATTAAGTCCGTTTTTTTCTTCTTCTTCTTTTTTTTTTTTTTTTTTTTGGTTTTGTTTTGTTTTGTTTAAAGAGGCAGGGTCTTGCCCTATTGCTCACTGCAGTCTGGGGCTTCCAGGCTCAAGCACAATCAAGCAATCCTTCCACCTCAGCCTCCCAAGTAGCTAGGACTGCAGGCACACACCATCATGCCAGGCTAGTTTTTGTTTGTTTGTTTGCTTTGTTTTGTTTTTCATTTTTGTAGAATCAGGGTCTCACTATGTTGACCAAGCTCATCTAGAACTCCTGGCCTCAAGCAATCTTCCTAAGTCAGCCTCTCAAAGTGCTGAGATTACAGTTGTGAGCCCCTGCTCCCAGCCTTATTACTCATTAATTCTTCACAATCTTCAGTTTGTGGAAGAGGTACCACTGCTGCTAAATTTCTTTCTAGAAACTACTTAAACATCATGACCCATTAACTTTCCTTCGGAGCAAAAAGTCATGCAGAAATGATTTGGTAAAGGGAACAGAGTTGTTTTTAGGAAATTGTGCTTTGGCTTAATTTTGAAAGCTGAAGAAGGGTTTAATAGTAAAAGGTGAGTGAGAGGTTAGGGGGATATTTCAAAATGGTAGAAGCGGTTGTGTAAAAGTTCTGAGAGAAAAGAAACGAGGTATCTACAAAAATCCAAAATAAAGCCAAGGTAAATAGGGTATGGGCAATGAAGAAGAGAATGACAAAACCCAGCCTGTAAGGACAGGAGGGTGCCAAATTTTACAGAGCTCAGGGGACATATTAATTTGGCTCTATATTCTTAAACCAAGAAATCCTTGAATAGCTCTAACTGAGGGCATGACATAATCTCATTTTATTTTGCTTTTGAGTCAGGGTCTTTCTCTGTCACCAAGGCTGGAGTGCAGTGGCGTGATCACAGCTCACTGCAGCCTGGACTTCCCAGGTTCAAGAGATCCTCCCACCTTAGACTTTCCAGTAGCTGGCATCAAACACATGCACCACCACACCTGTTTAATTTTTTTATTTTTATTTTTTGTAGGAACAAGGTCTCCCTATGCTGCCCAGGCTGGTCTTGAACTCCTGGGCTGAAGGGATCCTCCCACCTCCGCCTTCCAAAGTGAGGCAATTACGGGCATGACCACTGTACCCTGGTCGTATTTTGTCTTTAATTCTTCAAATAATGTCTTCTATGTAGAAAGTAAATTGAAGATGACAAAAAGTGGCATAGAAATACTGTGGTATGACAGGTAAGCAGCAGTCAAGAGGTGGTAGCTCTGGAAAGAAAAAAAAAGTGAAAACAAGCGAACAATATTCAAGAGGTGAAATTGGCAAGTTTTGTGACCGAGTATGAAAAACAAAGAGGTGTCAAGAATGACGTCAAGAGGTGGAGAGGGTAGTTCCATTTTACTAACGCAGAGAATATTGGAGGAAGATCAGATTTGGAAGAGAAGATCCTGAGTTGAATCTTAGACATAGAGAGAACTCAACTAAGCAATTAATACATTAAACAGTGTATGGTTCTGAGGTTTAGCGAAGAGTAATACAAACACGTACAGCAAGGATTATAATTACAGCTAAATATTAAATTTGGTTTTGAGTTTTCCCAGAGTTAAGATTTAAAAACTTTCATACTATATTAAATATTTATTGTTGCATTAAGTAAACCTCAAAATGTATAGCAACGGCTCTGTAATTTTATAGAATTTTTTTCAAAAAATATTTGTGATGTGTAAAAATATAGTATCTTCTCAGTGAAAGTTTCAGATTTTTAGTAAGTATTCTTCAAACGAATTCCTGGTATTATCTCTTCTCCAATGCAAAGGAAATAATGAAATAGTAAAATAACTTCATAGAGGAATTGAGAAGATGTAATCCAAATATGCTTCATTTTTATAATCAATACAGTAATAGAGTTTAATATATTTAGTGAAATACGAAATTGTCTATTGGTTGGTCTCTAAAACCAAATATTTTAAAGATGTTTTTGAAAGTGATTTTTATAATCCATTTATAGTTAAATTACTTATGAAGGCCTGAAAATTTTTCTCTATATATAATGCTTTATATATTTTACAGTGTTCCATATATATGCACGCATATATCTATGTCTACTTTTATTTACTTTTTATTTTATTTTATTTATTTTATTTTTGTGACAGGGTCTCACGCTGTCACACAGGCTGGTGTTAGAATATATTATTCTAATAATAATCATATATTATTGGAAGTCAGGAATGTAGAATCTCTTTCTATTTAAAAATTCAGGAGATTTTAAACCACTATGGCACATGTTTACCTATGTGACAAACCTGCACATCCTGCACGTGTACTCCAAAACTTAAAATAAAATTAAAATTTAAAAAAAAACTAGGAGCTTTTAAGAAATCCTTGCTCGGAATCAAGGCTTTTTAATTTCTATAGGAACGCTACTTTCATCTTTACTTTTGAGTGAGGTCAACGTTGATCTCAAAAATAAATCTTTGAATTACTTTTGAGTGAGGGCAACCTTGATCACAAAAATAGATCCTTGAATTTGTTAAGGATTCTGAGTCAGAGGAGCAGTATCACAGAGAGCTTAGGGTTTGGCTTGACTAATGAGTTCAAGTTGTTTTTCCGCCACTGACGGGCGCCATGAATGGTTACTTCCAATCTCTGGCTCTCAATCTCTCCTGCAGTGTGGGGATAATAGCTATGGTAAGGATAAAATAAGATAATGATATAAACCTATTAGCACATTGTTAGAAACAGGGTAATGACTCAATTAAATTGCTATTTGTACTATTATCAATCAATAATGCTAGGTCAGGCCATCAAAACTGTTCTAGGATACAGAGATTTTGAGTAAATCATAGTTAAGGATTTTCTAAGTATAGTAATATGTAAATATATCCAAATAGGCCTTTCAGGGTAAGCAAGGCAACATTTACCCCAAATAGCTAACTTTTTCTCAAGTTCTTCACAGTATTATGCATTTAAATACTGGAAATTTCTGAACATTTGCACTAATGATTTATCCAACAGTTAGTGACTTCTTAAAATCACTCCTGCTTTCTATTAACTTGTCATATCTGAAGTATATTTTTAACACATCCAATATATCTACCATGAATATAACTGTAAAATAGGAAGGTCTATCTAAACTGCTAAACTCTTTTCATCACTTTATTATTTGTTTTGGTCAAATCAATTTTCCCCACTTTGATTTTGGAAGTAACAAACTTTAAAACACGTGAATTTTAATTAAGATGCTATTCAAAGTAAGCAAACACTATTTGCACCTGACAGGAAATTTTTTACATTTATAAATATTGCATTAGTAAAACCTCAGGATAATATGAAGACCAAGCCATCATACATCCTATTCTAACAGATATCCCCACATTTATCAATACTTCTATATTTTAAACATATTTAACTCAAGCAGTTGAACTGCAAAATAGAATTAAAAGATTACCTTCCGTTAGGATTGTCTTACATAGATTGATTATTTTTCCTGAAATTAATAGCTAGCTGGAGAAAATCAAATAAACACTCAACAAAAATAAATACTTAATTCTCAAAAGCATTGAATATGTTTTCCACCATAGGCTATGAAAATATTCTTCCTAACAGCTCTTTTTATTTGACTTTTTTTTCTGGAGTCTCAGTTCATTAAAATACCCAATCATCCTTTCATTTGACTATTTTTTATGCGGAAAATCAATCAAATGTACATAAACACATACACAATACACAAGCTGTAAACAATCATTAAAGTTGTCATTAGGTCCCAAGGGCACAAAGTCATCTCACAAAGTGAAGGAATGCTATGGTGAATGAAAGGAGAAAAAAAGTGAGGTGGTGGGATGATGGTCTGCATTGTACAATTTTGGCAATAAATTTTTAATCTTTCCAAATTCTAACATTCCAAGGCAAATTCAAGCTTATAAGCTAAATAAAATAATTTAAAACTAACACAATGAGATAAGGTGCAATTTGTGTAATTTTTGTTAATTTGGCTACTTGTATCTACATTTTAAATATGTATGTCATATATCTACATATAATATATATAAACCATGTAAAATTCCAAGTTTTTCTTTTTATCTCAACTGGTACAAGCCAGTTTTTGAATATCTGATCAGCTTGTTCACAATATATGATTCAGTTACAGGATTTGGCAAAAAGTACAATACTTCTGATTTTCTTTAATTCAATGCATTTTTAACATGTCATACCAACATAGCCATTGTCCTCAGCACTCTTCAGCTAAACACATATGACAGCTTTGAATATTGTGCTGGATGAACTTATGAGAGAAATACTTTGCTTACTTATAATCTTCTGGAAGTTTGAAATCTAAAAACCCATATTATGTTTATATGTCAACAATAGAAATAAATTCAAGTATATGAGTTGAATGCTCTAATAATACCTGAACTAGTTGCATTCATAAAAATGCCTTGAGCACATTTGCTGTGGTGGTGGTGAAGACCAGATCTGCCTTATTAAGAGCAAGATCTCACCATGCATGTCTCTGTATAACATTAAAGGCTAACTGCATTTCAGAGGACATAATCACTGACTCTGAAGACCAAGTTACTTTTTTGTTTGTTTGTTTTCCATAAACATGTTACAAGAAAAAATGAACACATATACAAGCATACGGTATTAATTATGAAGGAATTAGGTACTAACATAAGTGCAAGAAATGCCCTTGAGAAAGAGAATGTGAACACTAACATGTGAGGATGCCACTGAAATATTAGTTCAATGCACTTTTTTACTCAATTTCGGTTTGGTGTGCAGTAAAGAACTACATACTTAAAATTTAAAGAATACAATGTCGCTTCATCCACATGAAAACAATTTGAACAATACGAAATCATCATGAGAGGGATAGTTAAATTCTAGTGGGTCTCCAGAATATGTTTTAAAGATTAAATTTTTAAGAAAATTTCATTCATTTTTTCTTAAACCTTAATACTTCCAAAAATCAAACAAAAATACTATTAATACCTAGCAAATACATCTTAAAGGAGAATAGCTTCACCCTAACCTTTCAGGTATGTTTACCGTGAGGCAATAATGATGCTGAAAATACGGTTCCTAGCAAATCATTAAATTATTCATTACATTTTCAAAATAGATGGACTGTATATCTATATCTATATTAACATCACACAAGATATCAATTTGAAAATGATTTACTAGTCTTTCCAGATGGGAGAAACACAATTTTTTCCCCAAAGTTCTTGTCCTGAGGGATTGAGATTGATTGCTTTATAAAATTCATGGTGACAAAAAGATTTACAGTTTTTGATTATAGCTTCTAACACAGGCATTGGCATCAAGAGGTATTACTTCAAAGACTGTGCATTTTAAAATGAATTGGTCTTGAGGAGGACCTCTGGTGACCTCCCAGACTCAAATTGCAGAGTCACAGTTTGTTCTGACATTCTTTCTCACTGCTTTGGTCAGTCTCTGTAGTTCATACACTTAATAACAAATTGATGGATTTTTTTTTATATTAGGTGCTTCAAGATTTTATTGAGAAAAATATTCTTTTGCGACCTACACAAAATAAAATATGGAGAACAATACATTCTACAGAGTAAAATAAACAAAAAAAACTAAGACAAAAATTTATACAGGATGTAACTAATAAATATATGTGAGCAAACTTACTGAGTTTGATGTCCTTTCCAATGCTAGTGTAGCTATATAGAAGGAATTATGTATAACTTAAATATTATCTTATAATAGAACTTATATATTTAAAAAAATCTACCTACTAAAAAAATACTATTATGGTTTCTAATGTAGAGTATAAATATCTAAACAGATCTTTGTTTTTGTTAAGGTCTTGTAGTTTCTCTTTTGCTTTTCTGTTAGTATTCTTCACAGAAATGGTCTTTATTGTTTTAAATCTATGTAAAACATTAATCATGGTTTAAGTATTAATGAAACTTTTATTTAAATGAAAACATGATATTTATACTAATTATAAAAGATCCAAAAATGTAGAAATAACGTATTTCTATGAATTATAGTAAATCTACATTTGAACAATACTATTTTAGGTAATATACCACTATCAAACTTCAATAAGAATAATTGTAGCATTAGTGAAATAACGGCAGTTAAACTATAAAAAGAAAAATCCAAATATCTCTTAAATAGAGAAAACACAGGCAAACATCTTGCAGTGGTTGTGACTGTTCTGTGTTTGGCAGGTGTGAAATTTGAGTAAACATACCTGTGCTCCTGACACTAAGCCCCAAATCCCAGCTTAACTCAGCTACTTTTGGCGGGGGTGGGAGAGGTGGTGGTAAAGGTCCCCTCTTTCCTTTGTGTCTGGTCAATGTTGGCAGGCAGGAGAGAGGACTACAGGGTCCCTCCAAATGTGTAAACTAAGAGACCCAGATTTCAATAGGAAGAAATGAGGGAAAATCGATTGAAACTAGCAAGTTCTTAAAATGGCATGGATTTTCTGGGCATCCAGAATGTCCTCCTTCAATCTAAGTGTCCTTGGATAGATGCGACTTTCCTCTAGGGGTGACACAGTGACCCCTGCTCCTTTCCTCCTGTGGCCCCTCCATCTTCACCACATGCCAACCAAGTTTCCGCTGGGATGGGTCTCCCACCCACCAAGCCATCTGCAGAACAGTGATTCTTGAGGAGAAAGCCATCCTTCTGTTGCCTAAACTTGCCACCTTTTATTTCTTTAAACTGAATCTTGCTTCTAGTATCTCTCTGGCAGACAGAGGCTGAGAGGATCCGTGACCGTCTACTAAGACACTGCCATGAGTGACTCAACACCAGTACTTTTACCAGTGAGAAAAATAAAAGAACCATTAGCTGAGGCCAGTCCACGGATCCTGAACGGGGCTGTGGCTCAAGCTGCAGGTCCCCCCATGAGTGTGGTAAACAGAGCTTCTGGTCCAGCTTAGTGGTGAGAGGAGGAGCCAAAGGCTCAGAAGGATAGTTGTTTGTTATTGTTGTTGTTTAAAATGCATCTGTTTTTCAAAAGGAAATCATCATGTCGAAGTTCATAACCTGTTTCTGAAAGTAAAGCATTGAGCCACTGTTGTGGGTTGGAGGCAGCAGCCGGGAGGGGATTTTGGTCAGGATTCTTTAGTGTCAGATGACAGAAATACAACACAACTGATTCACAACTAAAGGAGGAGTTGAGGTAAGGATGTCAGGGGTTGATGACACAAAAGAGAAGTGCTGAAGAAGCCATGGCTGCCCTGGAAAGTGAGATCAGCATTAAGGACTCACTGCTCCAAGGAAACCCTCCGCCTGCGTCTTGTCCCTGAAATTACCATCAGAGAATAATATAAACACCTCTACACAAATAAACTAGAAACTAGAAGAAACTGATACATTCCTGGACACATACACCCTCCCAAGAATAAACCAGGAAGAAGTTGAATCCCTAAATAGACCAATAACAGGCTCTGAAATTGAGGCAATAATTAATAGCCTACCAACCAAAAAAAGTCCAGGACCAGATGGATTCACAGCCGAATTCTACCAGAGGTAAAAAGAGGAGCTGGTACCATTCCTTCTGAAACTACTCCAATCAATAGAAAAAGAGGAAATGCTCCCTAACTCATTTTATGAGGCCAGTATCATCCTGATACCAAAGCCTGGCAGAAACACAACAAAAAAAGAGAATTTTAGACCAATATCCCTGATGAACATTGATGCAAAAATCCTCAGTAAAATACTGGCAAACAAAATCCAGCAGCACATTAAAGAGCTTATCCACCATGATCAAGTGGGCTTCGTCCCTGGGATGCAAGGCTGGTTCAACATATGCAAATCAATAAATGTAATCCAGCATATAAACAGAACCAAAGACAAAAACCACATGATTATCTCAATAGATGCAGAAAAGGCCTTTGACAAAACTCAACAACGCTTCATGCTAAAAACTCTCAATAAATTAGGTATTGATGGGACGTATCTCAAAATAATGAGAGCTACCTATGACGAGCCCACAGCCAATATCATACTGAATGGGCAAAAAATGGAAGCATTGCCTTTGAAAACTGGCACAAGACAGGGATGCCCTCGCTCACCACTCCTATTCAACATAGTGAATCAGGCAGGAGAAAGAAATAAAGGGTATTCAATTAGGAAAACAGGAAGTCAAATTGTCCCTGTTTGCAGATGACATGATTGTATATTTAGAAAACCCCATCGTCTCAGCCCAAAATCTCCTTAAGCTGATAAGCAGCTTCAGAAAAGTCTCAGGATACAAAATCAATGTGCAAAAATCACAAGCATTCTTATACACCAATAACAGAGAGCCAAATCATGAGTGAACTCCCATTCACAATTCCTTCAAAGAGAATAAAATATCTAGGAATCCAACTTACAAGAGATGTGAAGGACCTCTTCAAGGAGAACTACAAACCACTGCTCAACGAAATAAAAGAGGACACATACAAATGGAAGAACATTCCATGCTCATGGATAGGAAGAATCAATTCATGAAAATGGCCATACTGCCCAAGGTATGTTATAGATTCAATGCCATCCCCATCAAGCTACCAATGACTTTCTTCACAGAATTGGAAAAAACTACTTTAAAGTTCATATGGAACCAAAAAAGAGCCCGCATTGCCAAGAGAATCCTAAGCCAAAAGAACAAAGCTGGAGGCATCACACTACCTGACTTCAAACTATACTAAAAGGCTACAGCATGGTACTGGTACGAAAAAAGAGATATAGACCAATGGAACAGAACAGAGCCCTCAGAAATAATACCACACATCTACAACCATCTGCTCTTTGACAAACCTGACAAAAACAAGCAATGGGGAAAGGATTCCCTATTTAATAAATGGTGCTGGGAAACTGCCTAGCCATATGTAGAAAGCTGAAAGTGGATCCCTTCCTTACACCTTATACAAAAATTAATTCAACTTAAATGTTAGACCTAAAACCATAAAAACCCTAGAAGAAAACCTAGGCAATACCATTCAGGACATAGGCATGGGCAAAGACTTCATGTCTAAAACACCAAAAGCAGTGGCAACAAAAGCCAGAATTGACAAATGGGATCTAATTAAACTAAAGAGCTTCTGGCCAGCAAAAGAAACTAGCATGAGAGTGAACAGGCAGTCTACAGAATGGGAGAAAATTTTTGCAATCTACTCATCTGACAAAGGGCTACTATCCAGAATCTACAAAGAACTCAAACATATTTAGAAGAAAAAAACAACCCCCTCAACAACTGGGCAAAGGATATGAACAGACACTTCTCAAAAGGAGACATTTATGCAGCCAACAGACACATTAAAAAATGCTCATCATCACTGGCCATCAGAGAAATGCAAATCAAAACCACAATTAGATGCCATCTCACACCAGTTACAATGGCGATCATTAAAATGTCAGGAAACAACAGGTGCTGGAGAGGATGTGGAGAAATAGGAACACTTTTACACTGTTGGTGGGACTGTACACTAGTTCAACCATTGGGGAAGACAGTGTGGTGATTCCTCAGGTATCTAGAACTAGAAATACCATTTGACTCAGCCATTCCATTACTGGGTATATACCCAAAGGATTATAAATCATGCTGCTATAAAGACACATGCACATGTATGTTTATTGCGGCACTATTCACAATAACAAAGACTTGGAACCAACCCAAATGTCCATCAATGACAGACTGGATTAAGAAAATGTGACACATATACACCATGGAAAACTATGCAGCCATAAAAAGGATGGTTTCATGTCCTTTGTAGGGACATGGATGAAGCTGGAAACCATCATTGTCAGCAAACTATCACAAGGACAAAAAACCAAACACTGCAAGTTCTCACTCATAGGTGGGAATCGAACAATGAGAGCCCCTGGACACAGGAAGGGGAACATCACACACTGGAGCCTGTCATGGGGTGGGGGAAGGGGGGAGGGAAAGCATTAGGAGATATACCTAATGTTAAATGATGAGTTAATGGGTGCAGCACACCAACATGGCACATGTATACATATGTAACTAACCTGCACGTTGTGCACATGTAACCTAGAACTTAAAGTATAATTAAAAAAAAAAGAAAAAGAAAAAGGCTTCTGGATGTCACCCTATTTCTCCTCTGGCAGGAATCTGGCTACTAACATATGCAGTCTAAGTTTTGAAAATAGACTTTTGTTTGCTTTTTAATTGTGGTAAAATATTTAAAATCACAAAAATTTATCATTTTAACCATTTCTAAGTGTCATGAAACATATTCACCTGTTGTGAAACCATCACCACTATCCATTTTCAGAACTTATTCCATCATCCCCAATAGAAACTCTGTACCCAATAAACCATAACTAATCAATACCCCTCCCCCTCAGCCTTCAATAGTCTCTATTCTGTTTTGTGTCTGTATGAATGTGTTTATTCTAGATAACTCATGTAAGTGATTCATACAATATTTGTCTTTGCATGTCTGGCTTATTTCACTTAGCATAATAGTTTCAAGTTTCCTCCTTGTTGTAACATGTGTCAGAACTCCATTCCTTTTTAAGGCTGAATAATATTCCACTGTATTATATAAGCACGCTTTGCTTATCCATTAATCTGTTGATGGGTATTTTCGTTATTTCCATCTTTGGACTATTGTGAACAATCCTGCTATGAACATAGGTGTACAAGTGTCTGACCATCTCCTCAATTCT
The DNA here is from genome assembly GCF_000001405.40 of Homo sapiens. Classification (NCBI taxonomy): domain Eukaryota; kingdom Metazoa; phylum Chordata; class Mammalia; order Primates; family Hominidae; genus Homo; species Homo sapiens. The sequence continues at coordinate 85,397,396 of NC_000003.12, read as the reverse complement.
TTTGGGTTGTATATAATCACATACATAATTCTGGATCATATAATAATTCTACTAGGCTTAGCTCTTTGAGGAATTACAAAGCTTCTGTTCCACAGTGATGCACAGATTTCAACTTGTCCTCATCCTTATAATAACTTGGTATTTTCTATTTCCTTTTATATAATAGCCTTCTTAATGTATGAAGTGATATCTCACTTCTAATTTTGACTTACAAATTTACTAATGGCTAGTGATATTGGGCATCTTTTTTGTGTTTACTGGCCACTTGTTTATCTTCTTTACAGAAATGTCTTTAAAGTCTTTTTCCCATTTTTGAATTTGGTTGTATTGTTGTTGTTGTGTTGTAGGAGTTTTTAAAATATATTTTGTATATTAATCTCTTGTCAGATATTTGCTGTGCAAATATTTTCTCTCATTCCCTTGGTTGTACTTTCATTCTGCTTATAGTTAAGTTTTGATAAACAAAAGTCCTTAATTTTGATGAAGACCAATTTATCTAATTTTTTGTTGTTGTTGCCTTTGCTTTTAGGTGTCATGTCTAAGCAATCATTCGCAAATCCAATGTCATGAAAATTTTCTTCTAAAAGTTTTAAGCTTATAACTCTTTTGTTTAGGTATTTGATCCATTTTAAATTAATTTTTGTATGTGGTATTAAATGAGCCCTACTATATTTTTTGCATGTGGAATGTCCAAAATTCCTAGTAATATTTATTGAACAGACTGTCCTTTTGCCATTGGCTTATTATTTTCAACATTAAATATCAAAGACATGTTTAAAGTCTTGAAAAATAATGAGTAATGCAAAAAATCATCTATCCATATTTCTACAGACTGCATAGCGTATAATTTTGTAGGTATTGGATTACCACAAAATCTAGATTTGCAGGATTTGTTGCTGCAATAATTTAAAATATAGTGTAAAGAAAAATATATTTATTTAAGCAATTATATTTACCAATAAGATAAGAGTCATTGCCAGTCTCATAGGAAATAATAAAACTAAGTTATGAAGTTGATGATCATTTTATCATGAAAAAGGGGCTCCAGTTATTTCTCATCTTTCCACAGTAAATGCTAAGATGATAAAGTGAAAAAATAATTATATATGAATAATGACATCTAATTGGCCAAGAAAAAAACTAAGATCACAAGCAGCAAGCAAGAAAACTTTACAGCTTCACTAATCTACATTTACCGATGAAATAAATGAACAGTTAAATATTTAAAATCTCCAATTACACACAAAAATTGTTACATCTTCAGTCGGGTAAGGAAAATTTATTTTGAAACATTAGACTTTCTTCAGAATCAATACTGAAAATATAATTGCATATTTATTTTATAAATTATCATTATGATAATTAAATATAATATTCAGAATCAATACTGAAAATATAATTGCATATTTATTTTATAAATTATCATTATGATAATTTAAATATAATATAAATTATAATATTTTATAATTATCATTATTTATAAAATAACTTAATATTAACATTTATTATCCTCGGAAGACAGTAATTAAAACATGGGTGTGATTTTTAAAGTTGCATACAACATCCAATCTTGAATAACTATTAGACATAATTCTAAAAGTTCTCAAGAATTCACTTCAATCACTGATGTGTAATTTGTGACTCTTAAATTATATAAACTTCATATTGATTTCTTATTTTCTTTTGAGAATGTTAGCCACAAGGGGCTTTTTCAAGATGATATATGAAATGCTGATCTCATAAGCAGACTGGGTCTAATGAACAGTTTATATATTCCCATGTTTTTATTCTTCTGAAGAAAATCTACAACCTTTTTGGAGTAGCAAACAATTTCATATGAAACAAAGTCAATCTCATCTTTAGTGTATTTTAATGCTGGTATCGTTTCATTTATATTTGTTAGACGGCAGCCAGAAACATTCATTTTGAGTTTCAATAAATTTTTTTCTGTCTAAGTCTGTATTAAATTCAATTGATTTTAAAGTAATAATGTTACATTAGATTTAAGTATTTTATAATGCTCTAAGAGGTAGCCAATGTCTTATGTTTTTCTATACATATACCCCTTCTTTTTCTTTCCTTTTTTTTTTTTTTTTTTTTGTATGGAGTCTTTCTCTATTGCCCAGGCTGAAGTGCAGTGGCATGATCACAGCTCACTTCAGCCTCAGCCTCCCAGGCTCATGTGATCCTCCAGCCTCAGCCTCCCAAGTAGCTGGGCCCACAGGTATGCACCAATACACCTGGCTAAATTTATCTTTATTGCTTTATTTTTTTTTTAGAGATGGGGTCTCCCTATGTATCCCAGGCGTGCATTCGTTATTTGGGTTGTTGTGTTTCCCAGCAATAAGATTTCATTATTAAAAAATATTACAAAAAACTGCTTATTTTCCTGAATTTGTTAAGTATCATACATTAAATGTTACGATATTTTAGGAGAAAACTATGGGAAAAGTTTTGTGAAGATCAATAAATGTAAACATATCACTGGAGAATATATTTTTGTCTTTGCATGAGAGACACATTTTTATAATTCTACATTTTGGATGCACTAAGCATCTTTAAAGCAGAAACAGGGATGAGAAAATATAAAATAATTGAACAGCAATAATACCCTACAGACTTTTCTCAGAACTCCTTCTTTACTTTGACACAATGAATAGCTTATAAAGAATGATCTGATAAATATCTAAATCATGATAAATGAAGTCCAAGGAAGAGAATACAAAAATGTGAACTGGCTATAAAATAAGCCACGGTTATATGAGTACAATAAGTCCAGTTAACTTTACACAGATTATTTAACATTGAGTCACAACTGAAAGCTTTTTTTAAAAAAAGCACAGCTCTAGCTAGATAAGAGGAGTTATTGCTTTTACAATTGAAAATGAATTATTTACATGTAAAACTAAATAAAATGAGATCAGAAAATTCTAAGGTTATTTTTAACCCTGCTCCAATAATACAAACATTTACTGGGTAATCTTTAAAATATTACCTGTGAAATATAATGCATAAGTTTTCATATCATACCTTATTATGGAAACAGGAGCCCATAATTTAGTGGTTTGGAATTGTTCATTTTATTTTAATTATGCATTTATTATGGTAATAATATTAATGTCAATGGAAAACTCAAAAATGTAGTAATTTATACCTCTGGAATGTATAGTTTATGGAAGATATATCAACTATAAAAGAATAACCGAGATAATTCAAATTAAAAAAATTATTTGTAAACTAATAATTTAACTGTTTTTTAAAAACACAGTTTTCGGCTATGCATCTTAAAAGTAACTATTTCAGGCCAGGCGCGGTGGCTTACGCCTGTAATCCCAGCACTTTGGGAGGCCGAGGCGGGTGGATCACGAGGTCAGGAGATCGAGAGCTTCCTGGCTACCCCGTCTCTACTAAAAATACAAAAAATTAGCGAGGCGTGGTGACGGGCGCCTGTAGTCCCAGCTACTCGGGAGGCTGAGGCAGGAGAATGGCGTGAAACTGGGAGGCGGAGCGAGTAACTTTTAAAATTAATGCCAAATTTAAGAAGCCTCATAATATATTTCACTTCTTTAAGACAAAGTTTTAAAAACAATAATATATTTTGATAATAAATAAGAGCAAATATGTCGTTATTAAAAAAAATCTTAATGGAGATTTACGCACAAAAGGGGTTACGATCTATCTCGAATCTTACAAGGTTAGTATCAGAGGGCTCCATTAAAAGAAGCACTTTAAAGACAAGTTCAATATTTTCTGTTCTGTATCAATAAATCTCTTTCTAATATGCCACCTCTTCCATGCAGTTTGATAAAGCTTCCTTATGATTTTTCTCCCTAGGCTGTATACAACTTCTGGAATCCCAGAGCTTATAACTTTAAGATAATTTATGTCTCAGAAAATTCTGAGCCCTTCTTAGAGCTTCAGCAATTATTCCTGCTTGGATGACTATCAATATCTACTTTCAACATTCACCTCCATTCTGCAGTTCAGAACAGCTTTCTCCCATCATTGACATGTGCTTTGGGAATTTCTAATTGTTTGTACCACCATCACTTCCAAATTAATATATCTAAGTCAAGATCATCATCCTTCTCCCGGACCACCTTTCCCTTTGGACATCATTATGTGCGCCAAATTTACCATCAAGTTCTGAACACCTAAACTCAAAACATGAGTCACTTTTTGACTTACTGTATACAGCTAGTAAATCACTGATTTTTATTAGCTCTTTACAGTTCCATTGTCTTGTTATTGTCTTTCTTACAACTATCATTTATCCTAGGAATTTTTCTTTTCTTTTTTTTTTTTTTAAAGAGTTTACTTTTGCCTCCAGGTTTTCTCTTCTTCAACTAATCCTGCAAACTGCATCCCTGAAATTGTTCATGGAATTCAGCTGTACAAGTTGATGAAAACTGTATTTGCTTCCAATTCACTAAATAGGGCAAGGAATCATTGTTCAGATGTGTTTTAGTATACAACACAGAAAAAGAAAATTAAAAATGATAGTAAGAATAAATATGAAGGCCTCCATGTGGATGAGAAAAATATCATTACAAATGTACAGGTGAGGAAAAGCTAGCTGAACAGCAATTCATGTTTTGCTTTGTTTTATTTATTAAGTATAGGATTTAAATGGATTTTCTAAGTTTATTAAGCTCATTACAAAATCAAGCTGTCCATAAAGAGTTTATAGAATTTTGAGTCCAGAAAAAGAACTTTACTTTTTATACTGTATTGACCAGAATTTACCTGGAGAATTGTTTTAACTTGAAGGGGCTGGGAGTGCTGCTTTAAAAATCTAATAATAAATAGAAGGTTATCAATTCAAGTGTTATTAGAATTAGGAGGATGTATGTTCTGCCTAAAGAAGAAAAGACTTAGATGGCACATACTCTCTTGAAATATTTAAACACTGTCATATAGAAAACAAATTAAATTTATTTTGTAGACTCCAAGAACAAACTAAGATATTGGTATTTTTGAGGGCTCACTATAAATTAATAATCAATAATAATTATAATAATCTGTTAGTTTCTATAGCCTGTGTAACAACACAGTTATGTGGCTGCATTGATAGAAAAGCCTCAAGTCAACATCTACTAGGAAAAATATTTAAGTTATATCAGGTGTAAGAACATCAATATTAGTGAAAGGGATTTCTTTGATTTTTTTCTCATACTTTAATATTGAGATGTAGCAAGGCAAGATTCTAGCAATCTAACTCACTGTTCTCAAGCATACCAAATATTTAGAAATGTAATTTCAAAGTCCTGGCATCTTTATTATTTTATCTTTCTTAAGTGATTTTGAAAATATTATTTCTGTTCTACCAAGAGAATTTTTCCTTCACATCCCCAAATTTTCTTCTCTCCCAATGCTAACACTCTTTCAAAATATGACAGGAAGCTTGTAACAGCTTTTCTGTCATTTGCAAGTGTACAAACAGAGACTGTTTTGTCTTTTCTCAAATTCACAGTGAAGGGAATTCTTTTGAACATTGTAGAATTCTATTTGAAAGTGATCTGGCCACAACCTCTTCAGTCTTTTGAATATCCGTGTTGATTCAGCTAATCCAAATGGTTAGGGAGAGATTATCATCCACCTGCCCCATGCATATGCAGGTTCTAAACCGTCTGAGTAGATCACCTTTTCAGAGAAAATAAATAAACAGACAAATAACAAATCTGTATCTAAGAATATGAAATGGTTATGCTCCCCTGCTGGTACTGCTTGCTTGGTTGGCACTTTGGCCAAGATAATTTTAGTATCCTTATCAAAACAAAGATTTGTATTGCACAATATAATTCTTCTGTTGTGTCAGGTCTTGACTATTGTTGCTATTGTTGTTTTTAAGTTTGCAATTTACATATGAGTCTTCGGTCTCTGCCTTGCCTGAAGAGCCTTCCATCTTGTGTATCCTTTATAGCAGTCTTACTATTCCGACAAAATTTGGGTTAAGTTCTGTTTCCACCAGAAAATCTTCTCTATTTACCCTTAAACATCTATAACCTCTTCCACTGAAAAATCTTATCTTTATATCTCCTTTGGAACTATCACTCTTTAGCATTCTTCTATGTCCTCTTTTTATCACAAAACTATACTTCTGTGCTTCCTTTTTTCCGTCTTTCTGTTTTAGTCTTTTATTTCTTTCAACTAGTATTAATTGAACTCTTTATCAATGCATTAAGATCTAGAATTACAGATACAATAGACCCAATGTATCCTTTAGAAACTCCCAATCTATTGGAAAGAAGAAGTAAACGACTGGCAAACTCAGGTGGGTATAAGTACTTCATTGGAGGTAATCAGCACATACTAATGAAGTATAGCCTCTGGATCTTCTCCTAGCCTTGTTCAACTGTACATTAAAACAAATTAAACCAGATTATTCCTAGGTGTCTAGATGCACCTAGGAATATATGCATTTAGCTCTCTGGAGTATCTTTCTTCACCTTCTTCCTACCATCACATGAATACAAGTGAGTAGCTGCCCCAGGGATATAGCAACACTGAACTTGAGGTTTTTAAGTAAAAGTTAATCTTTACAATTCGGCTGTAAATGGAGGAGACTGGCATGTACAGGAATTCACAGAGCTGAGGAGGCTGACTTTTTAAAAATTATTTTGAAGCTAGTTGAGACTTGAGAAAAAGAGGGAGTAGGCAGTAGAGCAGAGATTATTTATGTGTTGGCTATGAACTGAAATGCATTTTATATTTGTTCACTTTTCAGGATGAAGATTTGGTTAATTTTGGTTCTTCAAGAGTCAGATCCCAAAACAGGATTAAACCTAGAGGAAAATATTAGAGGAAACGCTTGTGAAGTATAAAGAGGAGAAAACAGGAATAGACATTGGATACAGGCCTGACCTCCTACACCTAGAAGGATAAGGAAGGAGAGTTACATAGCAAGAGTGTTAGACTGTAGCAGAGTTCAGAGAAAGTTTTGGCCAAGCTGAGATATAGATATATAGCAGCATCAATGAAGACAGAAATGTGTGATTTTACACTTCAATACCTTGGAAAAAAGTAAGCAAACAATCAGGAAGAACCACGATTGAAGTGCAATTGATTAAGTAAGTTAGGGACATTGACAAAGAGTTAACCAATGATTTTAAAGGTTATGTCTTTTTGAAATGGAACTGAAGCCTCAGTCAGGGAGAGTTAATTCTTTCTCCATGGAAAAACAAAGAACTATGTTTTAACTTATTTTTTTAAATCCTCAGAATCTAGCATGAGGTCTCCCATTAGAAATTCATTATATAAATATTATCTGGATGAACAAATGTATAAGCCAAACCATTATAATTTGTTTTTTATTGTGTTTTTCATATTTATATAATTCTTTTATTCCTTCTTATATGTATATTCACTAGTTTGATTTACTATGCCGATTGTGGCTTCATGAAATTAGGATGCTGACTTGTTCTTTTACTCTACAAGAATTGTAAAATATGCATACATTTTTAACATTTACTTGCCCTTTTATCAACAATTCTCTTCAGAAAATCATTAAATAGGAAGAGTAGAAATAACACATTAAGCATTTATTGTCAACGTACTTTGCAAATATCAAATGAATAGTCAGTGCTGCATACCTGGCCTTGAAATTCAGAAGGCAATCCATTGTTTTTCCATTTGATTGCACACACATTACATGGGATCTAGAAGTTTTATAATACAAAAAAATCATAAATAAGAAAAAGGAAAACTACTGGAAAAGTTAAGGAGAATCAGAAAATATAGGAAATGTCTCTAGTAACTATAAAGAACTCGGCAAAAGAAGGACATGAGTGGTACAGATAGTCTCTTTTGATCAGAGAGATTGGGACTTGAATTTGAATACACATTATATGGTATATATCAAATATTTAACACAGAATACAGAGAGAAATGTATTATGTAGAATAGATACAGAAAAATAACATAATAAATTAGCTAGCTCATTATCAACAGCTATACGGGCCACTTCCTAGATGTCTTGTAACTCCAATGTCATGTTTTCCTCATATTTTCTGCAACTGCTAGTCTCCTTTAAAATGAAGACAATTATTTAATTACTCAATGCTGTTCAGCATTTTCCATACTACTTGTTACACTATTTATGGCATAATATTTTTGGTACAATTATACTCACCAGCATCCCCTTTTACTTCCTTTTGATTTAAGAGTACTTCACTAAGCAAAATTGTGGGTGCAAAGTGGGCCTTCTAGAACTACTTTTGAGTGACCATTCTATTCAATTACTCTATGGCGCCATAGAAATGCACATAAGTGACATATGCCCAGGAGAAGGCATCACAAAACGTTACTTTAAATAAGGGTGAATGTACAGACTTTGTTTTAAATATAACCCAATAAGATACCCACAATGTCCTGGAAACCCTAGCTCTCTCCGATCATAGGAGAGAGGATTTCGGAATTTCCATTTATCCAATACCCCCAGATGGTCTAGATTAAGTGCTTTCATTAAAATATATTTTGTTTTTTAGATGGTAACTTTCTGTAAGATCTATCTAACACATCTTAGATATCATAATGTGTACAGGGGAAAAATTACTTCATACCTTTCAAAAATAAACCAGATGGATGAATATGATTTTTCTGTGTTTTTTTTTAATGGTGGAGGTGGGTAGGTTGTCAATTTTGTTTTAATTGATGGTTCTCTCTTTTCCTCCTTAATTGGCCAGAATTTCCTGGCTATGGTAAGTCTGGACTAGCTAAAACATTAATCATTCTAGCATATGTTGTTCCTCATAATCAGAGCTTGTGTATCCCACACATTGCACTGCTTCCCTTGGTTTTGTGAAAAAAATTAAAATGAGGAGTATTGCCATATCAAGAAGATGACATATATATAAAATACATACGTACATTCATACATAAACAGACACACACATATGTAGCTGTTTCTGAAAACATGATTTTTTAATGTACAAAATCACAGTTTTGCAAGCTTCAACAATTGTGAAAATAAACTAGTAACCCGCTTCTTTCCTGAAGGAGATAAAATGTTCCAAGAGAAACCACATGGCCAAACATATTATTGTGACGAATCCCAGGCCAAACAATTAATTCTCATCCTCTCTGCCAAAGTCTCCTATGATTTCTTTTCTTCTTTCCTCCATCATCAACAAACAGTTATTGGCAGGAGTCCAAGACCATTCTGGGCAACTTGGTGAGACCTCATCTCTACAAAAAATAAAATTGGCCAGGCATGGTGCTATGCTCCTGTAGTCCCAGCTACTTGAGAGGCTGAGGCGGGAGTATCGCTCGAGCCCAGGAGGTCGAGGCTGCAGTAGGTTGTGATGGCACCACTGCAATGCAGCCTGGTTCCCTGGAGAGCCAGTTAACTAAACATTTGCCTGTACATTATTGGACTTATGTCAGGGTCTCTAAGAAAATAATCTATTCTATTCTGAGAGCAGCTTCTTTTATGCAGATAATCTAACTTAAAAACATCAGTTGTTTCTTCAGCAACTAAAGATGAGAATTAAAGCAAAGGAACTATATTTAGATTCTTTATGGTGCTATAGAACTTGGGTGCTATAGGACTTGAGTGCTATAGCTAGGCTTCCATCTTTAAATTTCTGTGTCCATAAATCACAATTACTAAGAAATGTAATCGTATTGAAAAAATGATCACACATTAAATTATGTAATCATTTAGAATACTACTAAATAATACTACATATATTTCAAAATAATAGCAAATCTATGCAAATATTAAAATCTGAAATCTGAAATTAGTATATTTCATATATAAAACCGCATTAAAATATAGAACCAGTTAATATAAATTTTCCATTTCAGAGAACTGCCTGCAGAAAGTTATACAAGAGTTCAGTGTTTTATCCACTCTGTTGTTTATTTGTCAGTATCAGGATTTTAAAAAAAGACCTATCTACATCAATACATATTTGCCACTTGAAAATAAAATGAACACCAACTTTAGCTAAATAAAAGGCATGCAACTCTGTTCAATAGTGATAGGATTGTGTTTCTAGGTAGCAAAAAGAAGGAAAGTAAACAATTTAACAGAATTAATGAGATGTATAACTTTACATTGTATTTACACTAACTCGTATTTGCTTATTTTTTCTAAATTATCTATTTAAAAAATTTCCAGTGAATATCCCATGCAAAACAGAAGTTAATTATATGAATGATTTAGGGGGAAAAATTACTTTTCCAAACACCTACACTAAATATAGTGTAATGGGCATGGTCTGTAGCCTGACCAGCTTTCCATCCCTTTTTGCTACTTTCAACAAAACTTTAATTTGTGTACCTTTTCCCCCAGCGGCTCCATGAGACAAATTCTCTCCTAACTCCCAGAGTATTCCTTACTCAGAGAGATTGCTTTAGGAACCCAGACTGAGCCAGGAGGCTTAGCCTGCCTGTGGAACTGCTATTGTTTATATGGTGGGGTAAAGTTAGGGACAAGTAAATAAAGATACAACATACTGAAGGGAATGATTTTTATTCCACCTATGAGAATATTCCACATATGAGAAATGCCTGCCTTTCATACTGGATGCAAATGGGGAAACATGTTGTCCTGGGCTTTTCTGTGTTTTCTGGCAAATATGAAGATTTTCTCCCTCAAGTGTGTGCTCAATTCCTCCCTTCTCATTCTCACACTTTAGTAGTAATCCTTAACATGCAAAAGGTAGTATTCACGGTGTTTTCACTTACATTGTCTCTTTTAATTATCCTTCCAACCCTGGTAAGTATTTCAGTCTCTAGTCAACAAATACAAAAACTAACCCACAACAAGGTTTAAGTACTCTGCCCACAACACGCACACTGTCAGTGAGAAGCACAGCCCAGGTTTGAAATTCTGTTTTTATATTCTAGCTGGAGCAAGCATCCCACATGGACAAGGATGAACCAAGAATTTGGGTCTTCAGACAACCTGCTAGTTTAGGAATGGTCACTCAGAGGTCTCACCCTACTGCCTTAATTGTGAATTTCTTAGCTTGCTCAGTTGCCCTATCTAGTTGTTCTCCCCACCCAATTCCCATTCTCCAGTTTCAGGATGGGACCTGCTCTCCTTAATACTTTATACTTTCTTGTATTCTCTTTGCTAAGGTTGGACCACGTTCCCTACAATCTCTACCTATTTATAAATGGTTTATCAACTAAGTGCATATCTCTCAAAGTAACCACCACCAAAAATGACTTTCAAAATAATTAGCTACCTTGAATTTATACACAGGTATGAAATCACTCCTGAAACCTCCAGAGGCCTGTGGTCTCTGCTTACTGCAGCCTAGTGAGTACGATGGCAAGGATGCAAATAAAGTAGTATGTAGTTAGGGGAAAGCCGAGATTCCTTCAAACATAGCTTCTCACTTTGTTCTGCATGATTGTTCATATGGTACTTTGTTCTATATTTATTTGTTTTAAATATAATTGTTAATGCAAATTAGAATGTCTTCATTTATTCTTAAAACATGATATGAATGTAACATGCAAAATGAATATGTGTACTATGCTCAGTAGAAACTTTTTCAGAATAACATCCAATTTTATGTCAAAGCGAGAATGTTCAATTTATACAATCTTAAGGCATCTAGTTTCCAAAAAAAAAAAAAAAGAGAGAGAGAAACACTTTGCTGTTTTACAGGTGTTTGTTATGTTTCTATGTCCAAAACATAATAAACTCCTGTAAAAAGGCAAAGTGTTTCTCAAAGGGTATTTTCGGTTGAAAAAAAAAATCAATGTTGAACATAATTAAAAAAGAATATATTCTCTCTCCACTGAAAAAAAATAGGGATCACTCAAATAAATTGCTCTTAACAACATGAACCTGCCAAAACTCAATTCTTTCCTGTGCTATTATTTATTTGATAGATTTTACTACATCATAGCCCAACCTCATAAAACAAGGATGAATAAGTTATTTACCAAAACATATCCATGATTAAGTTTTATTTACTTGCAAAAGGCCATAGGACATGCATTTCTAAACATTAACAAATGAGCCATGTCTATGATTCTCTCCCCTACTATCAGTTAATCTATACATTTTCCCTCCCTGCTCACTCTCCTCCCAAACAACATATATTTTTTTCTGTTTTGAAAAATTCAGCATATCATTGTTTCTTTTCTTAACTGGTTAAGGGTTGCAAATGTAAATGAATAAAAAATAAACAGTGTGTCGCCTGGGCATGGTGGCTAACGCCTGTAATCCCAGAACTTTGGGAGGCTGAGGCAGGTGGATCACCTGAGGACAGGAGCTTGAGACCAGCCTGGACAACATGGCAAAACCCCATCTATACTAAATATACAAAAATTAGCAGGTGTGCTGGAGCGCACCTGTAGTCCCAGCTACTCAGGAAATTGAGGCAGGAGAATCACTTCAGCCTTGGAGGCGGCAGTGGCAGTGAGCCAAGATCACACCACTACACTCCAGCCTGGGCCACACAGTGAGACTCCATCTCAAGAAAATAAATAAATAAATAAATAATAAAGTAAACAAAGCTTTATTGGAGGATATAGGAAAACATTTATATATTTATATGCAATTGGGTATATAATCTTTCTTTTTTCCTGAAATAAAAGGTCAATAAATTCCAGTAATTTGAAATTTAAAGCTTTTGTTTATAAAGGTTTATCAAAGGTTGCAGTATAAAAAGAAAAGCCACATACCCATGGAAAATTATATAATTGTTATATATATATACACACACAAGTATACACTCACACACACACACACACACACATTTTTTTTGACAAAATATTACACAGAGAATAATAAGCTTCTGACCAATAAGAAAAGGAGGGCGGGCGCGGTGGCTGACGCCTGTAAACACAGCAGTTTGGGAGGCTGAGGCGGGCGGATCACCTGAAGTCAGGACTTTCAGAGGAGCCTGGCCAACATGGTGAAACCTCGTCTCTACTAAGAATACAAAAAAATTAGCCGGGCGTGGTGGCGGGTGTCTGTAATCCCAGCTACTTAGAAGGCTGAAGCGGGAGAATAGCTTGAACCCCGCAGGTGGAGGTTGCAGCAAGACGGTACCATTGCACTCCACCGTGGGCAACAAGAACAAAACTCCATCTTAAAAAAATAAAACAAAAAATAGAAGAAAAAAAAGAAAAATTTAACACCCAATGGTGAAAAATGCACACATGCATTTCAGCAGTGCATTCTATAAGATATATGGATACTCTCTACATAATCAGCAAAAAATATATAACAATGGGATGTCGTTTTTCTTTCTTCAGACAGGTACAGATTTAAAAGATACCATAACAAGAATATGCAAGAATGTAGAAGTAGAATATGCAACATTGGTGGAAGTGTAAACTGGTATTATTTCCTTGAAACCAATTTGAATTTTTCTGGCAAATTTGAATATTTGCAAATTATTTAATCCAGCAGTTTCATTCCTGGAAATTACTGCACATGTACAACATGATCATGAGATATTTATTAGTCTTTTCAGAGAAACACAGTTTTTAAAAGAAAAATACTTAGAAATAACTCAATTATTCATCAAAGAAGAAATGATAAATAGTGGTAAGTTATATTCATTAAACAAAATACTATATAGTGGTGGAAATCAACAAAGGAATGGAACTTTTTTGAAAACAAAATATCAAAGGAGGAACAGTGAGTATTGAAGAATGTATACAATATGAAATCATTTATATAAAATTTAAAATCATAAAAAGTTTAAATATATTGTATAAATAATGAAAAGAAAATAAATGATATAAAAATGTTCAAACGACTGGTTAACCTTGGGAGGAATGAGAATTCCAATGGAGAGAAAAATGAGGATAATTGAATGAAATGGTTAGTGGTCAGTTATTTAACTGGATGGTGGTAAATGTTTATATGTATATATATATGTATATATATATATATATATATACATATATATATATGGTTTTATGTATAAAGTATTATATTAACTTTTTTCCACAATCTTGTGTATGAAATGCTTAAAATATGACTGATATATTTCTAATTTTCTGATTTATCTAATTCAATTTATCTAATGAAATTATCTAATTTCATATTTTTGAAATTGTCTAATTTTAGCACTGTTAAAAGAAAACTTCAGACAAATTAACAGAGTTTAATTGAGCAAGACAAACAAAAAACAAACAAGAAAAACAATTCACGAATCAGGCAGTCTCCAGAGTCACAGCAGATTCAGAGAGACTCCAGGGATGCCTCATGGTCAGAGCAAACTTATACACAACAAAAGGAAAGTGACATACAGAAGATGGAAGTGAGATGCAGGAACAGCTGGATTGTTTACAGCTTGGAGGTTGCCTTATTTGAACACAGTTTGAACAGTCAGCAGTGTCTGAGTGGTTCAAGTATGGCTGCTGGGATTAGCTGAGACTCAGCTATTGTTACAGTAGTGTACTCCTAAGTTAGGTTTTCAGCATTGTCTACCTGCAAAGTTAGGTTACAGTTGGTCCACAAGGACTCAAATATGGAAGTACAGAGGCTTTCTCAGGCCATATTTAGTTTGATTTAACAGCACTCGTAAGTGTTGGCAGTTTTATTGATGTAGTTTTTCGATAAAATTTTTAAAGAATATGGTAGTATAATAAATTCACTATTTCTTCATTTTCTTTTAAAATTGTCAAATATTTGTTTCTGTCTCTATTGTATTATTATAGCTGAGTAACTAGTATATACCAATAATGTTGTAAAATATAAGATCATTTGAAAAGTTGTATTTTCCTTCAAATTTTAATTTTTAAGAGTGATCTGCATAGATTTGAGTATGTATTGTTATGCTCTAAGAAAATATTATATCTAATCAAAGAAGCAAATATCCTGGAATAATTATTAAACAGATGCAGTTAAAATAAATAACTTGTTTTGTTTGGCGAATAAGATGTTATATATGATGTATCAGGTAAATATGCGGTAATCATGAGTCAGGAAGCAGAATGAGTTAAGAAAGAAAACTGCTTTTAGACTATTAATAGGGCTTAATCCTTCACCTGGTATTGCTCTTAAAGTCCTTCTCCTGACTCCTATCCCATCCCTATCTAAGGAGCGTGCCCACTGCTTATTATCTAATATAACTCCCAGACTTCTCTCTACGCTTATTCTTTACACCTCATAGAGGCCTTTTTGTAGCATAGAGTTCTAGAACTATATAAGCACTTCTCTGCCAATACCTCCTTAGCCTAGAATGATCAGAATTTATTTTGAGTACAATTTATTCTGTTTATGTTTTTTTGCTTTTCTTATTGTTTTAGCTCATTTTATTTTTGTTTTATAAATAAAGAATTACCACTGCAGTAAGTCTCCAAGGATGTGTACAATTATACAATAATTATTTGATAGTCACACTGCAGTGTTTCAGAGTTGATTCTTTTTTCATAACTGATCACACCTAACTTTTTAGCACCAATTGTCATGACATTAAAAAAAAAAGGCTTGGTGAGTTTAAATAGCTACATGGAAGGGGCTTTCTGCTGATTAGAGTGATGATTCCTGAGAATGGTTTTTCTGAGCCTTTCTGACATACTGGCATGTCAGTGTGTCCTGCACTCTATAGCAATGAAGTTCTAGAGTGCAGGACAAACACAAGGCCAAAGGTAGAGACATCCTTACAACATCAGGCCCTTGGATGCTGAGGAGTCATCCCACATCCTGCAGCCCTGCTCAGGCTGGTGAAAGTTAAGATGACAGCTGAAACTGAGGAGCTCAATATTTTTAGGAGGTGGATAGTGTATAAACTCTAAAAATATACTTTATTATTATAATCATATCTTGCTGCAAGAAAACTTTTGGCAAAATGCTATGTGGCTTTTAATAAAAAAAAAAATAAGGAATGGCTACATATTAGAACCTGTTACTACAGTCTTAAAAATAAATTGCCAACAAAATCTTTATATATATATACTTTATATATATATTCTTTATATATACACTTTATATATATACTTTATATATACAGTTTATATATATATTTTCTTTATATATATATATATAAAGCAACATACATAATTCAAATTTATTGGCTTCATCCTTCTACCATCAGTATCAACTCTCAAGGGATCAGAAGTCAAAATTCCACAGATTCAGTACAAAAATGAAGTTTGTTTTTCATCAATTACATGTAATGCCTAACCAGCAGAAAACATAAGAATAAAGTTGATCATTATTCACAATATTGTTATTTTTATTCCAAAACCTGCAGAATGTGTTACTACGGAAATCAGCTCCAATCAGCCACATTTGTCTTTGCATGCTTTATATCACTTCTCTATATATGCAATACACACGTACATACACATACACACATATCCTATCTTCATATATCGGATAAAATACATGGGTATAAGTGGTTATTAGTAAATACTAGCTCTGTTAATTTAACGATTTCATAGCTACACTTTCTAACTTTGTGTTTCTCTTCTAAAATATCATTCGTAGTTGGAAGCTCATATTCTTCCCTTCTACTTTTAAGATTACATTAATACAATAAATAAAAATGTACTGTGTTGCTATTATGTGAAATTTATCTGTGCTATTTTAACTTCCTTTAATTAGTTAGAATCAAATCTATGATATACTTTTTACAGCTCCTTATGATTTTACTGTGATCTTAGTAATTATATTCTAAAAAAAGTAATTGATTATCTGAATCAAAAGAAAATAGGAAATGGAGGATATTTAGAATTGAGGAAACAAATTATTCACAAATATCTACACTTAATTTGGTATTAAAATATGAACATGTTACGGTTTACCTGGGTTTTTGTCATTTAATTGGATAAACATATTTGTGCTCTATTTCAAAAACAGAAGAAGAAAAAGTACACTTGAAAAAATAATACAAACATTGGCATTATTTCAAGTATATCATTGTATTTAAAAATATATTAATTGAAATTAACATTCTTAATAATTAAAAATTGGGTTCCACATTACATATGCATATCTTAATAGCTTCATATAATATGTATGTAAATTAACTTCTACACTCTAAGATTGTGTTAAAATGCTAGACACTGTTATTCTGAGTCCCATAAAATGTATTTTAGCCTTAAATTTACATGAACTATAAGGCAAAAAAAGCAACATTTATATATTGTGTATATAAAAAAATCTTATGATTACCTTTAGTATGCCATATTAACATTACCTTCAAAAGGTGTCACGATTCTAAATCATTGGTATTGGATCAGCTGGCTCTTTTCCTTTGCTTCCTATTTTTTGTGGGTTTCAGGAAATATTTTATGCTCTTAACTTGAATACTGCTGAAAGGTGTAATTAACATTTAATAATCTATATTAATATGCATGCGATAACCAAGATGATTTATGTAGTACGGGGAAGAAATTTCAACTCTACTCTTTGAAAAGATATCAAACTCTTTGCTTGTCATTGGACATGTTTTTCAGAAATACTCATGCAGACTTTGTCAAAGTCATTGAAAAACAGAAATGTTTGCTAAAGCTTTCTTGCGTAGAATGTGCATTTTTCAAAAGATGTCAGACAATAAGCTGGGTCAGAGGAAATAATGAAAGCTGAATGTGGCATCAACTCCAGTTATAGAATAAAAGCCACTGTTTTAGTCTTTATAGTGCAACAGTTGCGAGTAATACAAAATGAATTTAATGGAGCACCAAAATGTAACAACTTGAATAAAATGTATTTTTGTTGATGAAAAAAGGAAACAATCTTGTGGGTCACAATTACTTGATCCTGTGAATTCAGATCCCTTTGAAGGGTACAATATTGATTTGTGGAGTGTCTTGTTATTACTGAAGGCTATTCTCTTTACTGGGATGCTTTTCCCTTGCAAAAAGAAATTAGATTATACAGCTGATATCATTAAAGCAAGAGGAAAATTGCATTAAAATGCAATGTTTGGAGAGTTGAACATGAAAGTCAAAGAGTTTGCCTCCCTCATGTAAATTTCTCAAGCCTAAAAACCAGTCTCAGAATGAACTCAGATCAGCTTCTAAAGGGAAATGAAACACCTGACCTTTACTTTCAAAGTTCTTTTTCTTTATTTACTTAGAAAACTATAAAACATTTATTTTTACCTTCATCTAAACTCTACAGTTTAAAACAAATAGCATTACACTTACAGAATTGAATTACTTTAAAAAGAAGTTTTGGATGCATCCAAAACTATTGAAGATGACGAATTTCAGTATAATTTTTAGCTGTCATGTTTTCTACTTGGAAACACTTAAGCAATCATCATGAAATTATGATCAACATAAATGAGTTTACAATGGTAATATTTTTGTTGCTTTTGGATATTCAATCCACCTCATATTATTATGAGAAGTTACTAACCCACGGTGCTTGATTTACCTAATGTAAACTTTAGCCATTCATCTTATTGCATCTTATTATCTTCACTAGTAATAGCTCTAAAATACCATCTTATGATACATTACATATACTACATTGATGGTTGCTTCTAATAAATACTAGTCAATACGATTTATTTCTTGAAAATAACTGAGTTTATTTGGGTTTTTGTCACTTTATTTTTATAATTTATTTTATTTTACTTTATTGCAATAATTTTATGGGGAACAGGTAGCGTTTCATTTCATAGATAAGTTTTTTAATGGTGATTTCTGAGATTTTGGTGGATCTGTCAGCCAAGCAGTGTACACTGTACCAAATATGTAGTCTTTTATCCCTCACCCCTCTCCCACCCTTTCCCTCAAGTCCCCAGAGTTCATTGTCTTTTAGAACAGAATGAAAGTAAAAAGAGAACTTCCCTCTCATACTCAGTTTTCTTCATTTTCGCTGAGAAATGTGAATATTCATTCAAGGGTATACATAAAGAATACCTACTACTTTGTAGCAGGCATCATTCTAAGTACTGAAGATTCAGCAATGAACAAGATAAATAGATTTGGTTTGTCCTCATGCAGCTTACTGTCTCTCACCCACCAACGAAACTAAACACATAAATGATGCAAAGTACTACGTAGAGTGCTGAAATAGTTATCAGTAGGAGCAGCAGGCTTTAGAAAAGACAAGGGTGGAAGATCTCTCTGAAGAAGAAAAAGACACTGAGGTGGAAAGAGAGCCTCCTGCAGGAACAAAATAAAGATATTTAGGTGCCAAACATTTTGCGTCCTTGAGGAAGATAAATATACGAGTGGCTTAAGCACAGAACAGAGTGATGAGGGCTACGATAGACAGAGACCTGGTCCAAGTAAGATCTTATACTTCATATTAAAAAGCACAGATTTTGTTTTGAGGACAAAAGAAAACCATTCAAATTTTTAGGACTATTGGTGTGAATGAAGATTTTTCCAATTTAAATTTTAAAGTATTTTACATTGTGGTTCACAATGATAGAAAATATTTCTAATATAATTTCATGAAAACTAGCTGCAAAAAAAATGATTCCTGAAAAATTTAGGAAATATTACCATACTATTCATTTAGACAGTCACAATATTCATTACTATCTTAGCTACAAAGCTATCATGTACTGCCAAAAACTGTTTAAACTTTCACTCAAATTCTCAAATAAATCTGACATCGAATTTTGATTTTCTGATGGTAATTCGCATCGCTCCCTGGGCCCACATTTTGGAAGATGTATTTTGTGGAAAAAACAGACTAGTGTCATTCAAGTGTGCTACCTCATTGTAATTGTCTTGCTTTATTTCAAAACTCCTGTAGCTATTAACTTTAACTTTTAAAAATGTGTTTTCATTATAAAAATGTGCCTTATGTTCATTAGTCAGTATACACCTATAAAGGTCACACCCTAATGCAATAAACTGTTTTAAAGCAGAAATGAGATAATTTCTTCATAAGCTGTATTATATTTCATGTTTCCATTGGGCAACTTTGACATTAAATATGGATAAACTAATGGTTTTCCTAAGGATGTCCAGTATTAGAATGTTAGAATGATTTTAATGAGACCCCATCAGCAGGATAGGTTTACCTGTGAGGTTGTCCATGTGAAGTGCATATAAATCCTGGAGCATTACCTATGAATTTAAATCAGAAAGCTCATCAACTTCCGTTGGCAAGGTGAAAGATAAAAGCCACAGAAGGTCCTTCCCAGCCTCTGTCACTAATGATAAACAGCATTAACTGCTTCTGTAGACACTAATTCCGCTATCTTGGGAACACAGGCAGCTACCATGAGAACTTTACAGCTTCACTAATCATACTTTTGTTTGTCACAAAGCACAAAATAAAACCTCAACAAAGAAGCAATAAATATTAGCATTTATGAACAAAAGAAGGTCGCATAAATATGTATATTGCTAAATAGGCAATGCATTCTTCATTAACCAACTATCATGTTCATTAGTATAAGCTCTTATTACAAGGAAAGAAAAGAAACAAAATAAGAGCAAATTTAATGTAAACTAGGTCAGATTCTGTTATGTAGGAAGCATTTTCCATGTAAAGATCTGATGAATTTAATAAATGTTTTAATGTTGTGAAGTACTTATTTGCTTAAAGGAATTTTCAGTAGATATTAATATTTTGATCCATGATATTTAAAACACAATCTTTTATTTTAGTTCATTGAAAACCGTTATCTTTCTGGCATTGTATTAATATGTTAAATCAAATATTCCCTTAAAAGCCTTTTTTTCATTTTAAAAGCAAAATTACTCAATTGTATAAACTTTAAAATGTTGCTTATGAAGTCCAAATAGCATGAGTTGTAATTTTGATATTTAAAATGGGATAGCCAAACAATGATCTCCTTTAAAAATATTATCAGGATGTCGCATTAGTGAACTAAGAAAACATCAGCAAGTTCCAAATAAATAGTAAACCATCATGTGTATCCATTTTTCAGAATACACATGCTTATTTTTGTAATATTCAGTTTATTTTTCATCCATTAAAGCATTACTACTAAATTTTTAGTTGCTTGAATACTTTCTATTAGTTTCAATGGCTTAGTTTTAAGAGCTTTTCTTTTTTATATTACATTCTTAACATGGTGTACTCTAATTTTTCCTCCTTTGCTACATTTCCAATGAGATTAATAAAATGATGTTTCAAGTAGTTTAAATTAATCAACCTATTAGTTAACTCTGCAGCTAATTATACAAAAGCCTTCTCTCACTGTCCCTGCTGTGAGGTTGTATTAAAAATTTGCAGTATTACTTCAGTTATTAAATCCCATTGGGATATAGTTAGTAATGTTATGTTAAAACTCAAGTGCAGTTTGGTAACATGCATGTAATTTAGAGAGGTGTATGACAAAACACAGTTTGCCTTTTAAGAGTACTCCTAAAACACAAAACAATTTACTTTAGAGGATCTAGAGTCCAAGGAACTTGGGTGTTCTTTGACAATGATTAGTTTTATTATCTGTTAAATTGATAATAATAGTACTTATTTCATATTGTTGCTGTAAAGATTAAATTACATAATGCATATTAAATGCTTAGCATAAAAACTGATCATATGTATCCAGTGACTATTAGTTATTAGGTTTACTTAGGTACCCTTAAATGTGGTTATTAAAATGTAAACAATAACAAGGGATTAATCACAAATACATTTATTCTCTAGTGCAAATATAATATACTGTACAAATGACCCTCAATTGTCTGAACAAAATGGTATTGAAGTGTTTATAGTGGGAAGGGGCTAATAATTATTTGGAGAAATAATTGGGAACCAAGTCATGAAAATATTCATATAAATCAATGGAAGAGAACACTTTGTACATTAATTTTTAATACACAAGAAATCAGTTGAACTGGCCTCTGATTCAAAATGTGTTCGTTTGTTCGTGTTGGCATTTTCAAGTTTTGTTTTCTGTTCTTTCAGTTCCTTCTTGGAAGCTGGGAAGACAGTGAATTTGTCTTTACTGGGAAGGAAGACAAACTGAGCAGGAACAGCTTCTAAGCAAACTTTTTTACATACTTGTAATAATTTCCAAGTGAAATTACTGCATCAAAATTTCAAGGTTATTTTGATTATTTATTTATAAATTGACTTCCAGAAGCATTGATACAGTCAGGGTTTCCCTGGGACCTCAGGCTACAGCCAATTATCAACACCTCTACAATTCTTGTCTGTGTTTAGGCTCCTTCTTGAGAGATAGGAAGAAAAAGTGAAATTGTGCAGTGGAAAGAAATTTAATTGGAATCAAATAGATTTGGCTTCAAAGCCTAACTCTATTATCATATAGTGGTATCAATTTGGCATAGTATTCCACTTCTCGAACTTGAATTTTCTCTCCTTGAAAATGTGGATAATATACCTGTTATTACCTTGCAGATGCCCAAATCTTCTATATAAAGCATAAAACATAGTTATGTAGTGTATAGGAAAATATGTATTAAATCACATATTTAGCAATCTGTAACTGACACACAGTAATCTCCTATAATAAATTTTGTTGAATAAATGATTGAAGTGTGTGTGTGTGATTTTCTTTTTCTTTTTTCTTTTTTTCCTGAGCAACCATCAAAAGTCTAGAAAGTAATGAAGTAGAAATAGGTATTTAGCACTGATATGGTTTCGCTGTGTCCCCACCCAAATCTCATCTTGAACTGTAGCTCCTCAAATCCCCATGTGTCATGGGAGGAACCTGGTGGGAGACAATTGAATCATTGGAGTGGGTTTTTCCCTTGCTGTTCTGCTGAGAGTGAATAAGTCTCACAAGATCTGATGGTTTTATAAAAGGTAGTTTTTCTGCACATGCTGTCTTGCCTGCCGCCATGTAAGATTGACTTTTCTCCTCCCTTGCCTTCCACCATGAGTGTGAGGCCTCCCCAGTCATGTGAAACTGTGAGTCCATTAAACCTCTTTTACTTTATAGATTACCCAGTCTGAGGTATTTCTTCACAGCAGTATAAAAATGAACTAATACAGTAAATTGTTACCGGTAGATGGGGTACTGCCATTATGATACCCAGAAACGTGGAAGTGACTTTGGAACTGAGTACCAAACAGAGGTTGGAGGGCTCAGAAGAAAACAGCTAGACAAGGGAAAGTTTGGAGCATCCTACAGACTTGTTGAATGTTTTGAGGCTGAGGTGGTCTCAGATAGAGATGAGAAACTTATTGGGAACTGCAGGAAAGGTGACTCTTGCTATGCTTTGGCAAAGAGATTGGAAGCATTTGCCCCAGCCCTAGAGACCTGTGGAACTTGGAATTTGAGAGAGATGATTTAGGGTATCTGGCAGAATAAATTCCTAAGCAGTAAATCATTCAAGATGTGACTTGGCTGCTCCTAAAAGCATTCACATTTTATTAACTTATAAAGATATGGTTTGGTATTGGAACTTATGTTTAAAAGGGAAGCAGAGCATAAAACTTTGGAAGATTTGCAGCCTGATGATGCAATAGAAAAAAAAAACATTTTCTGAGGAGAAATCAAGTTTGCTACAGACATTTTAATAAGTAATGAGGAGCCAAATGTTATCACCAAGGTAATGGGGAAAATGTCTACAGGGCATGACAGAGGTCTTCACAGCAGCCCCTCCCATCCCAAGTCAGGAGGCTTAGGAGGCCTAGGAGGAAAAAAAATGGGTTTCATGGCCCAGGCCCAGGGCATTGCTGCTTTGTACAGTCTGGGGACTTGGTTCTCTGTGTGGCAGCTGTGGCTGAAAGGGGCCAACATACAGCTTAGGCTGTTGCTTCAAAGGGTGCAGGCCCTACACCTTGGCAGCTTACATTTGGTGTTGGGCCTGCAGGTGCATAGAAGTCAAGAATTGAGGTTTGGGAACTTCCACTTACATTTCAGAGGATGTATGGAAATGCCTAGATGTCCAGGCAGAGGTGTGCTGCAGGGGTGGAACCCTCATGGAGAACCTCTGCTAGGGCATTTTGGAAGGAAAATGTGGGGTCAGAGACCCCACACAGACTCTCCACTGAGTCACTGCCTAGTGGAGCTGTGAGAAGAGGGCCACCCCAGAATGGTAGATCCACCCAAAGCTTGCACTGTGTTCCTGGAAAAGCAGCAGACACTCAACATCAGCCTGTGAAAGCAGCCAGGAGGGGAACTATACCCTGTAAAGTCATAGGGTCAGAGCTGCCCAAGACCATGGGAACCCACCCCTTGCATCAGTGTGACCTGGATGTGTGACATGGAGTCAAAGGAGATCATTCTGGAGCTTTAAGATTTGACTGGTGCACTAAATTTCCGATTTCCTTGGGGCCTGTAGCCTATTGATTTTGGCCAATTTATCCCATTTGGAATGGGTGTATTTACCAATGCCTGTAGCCCCATCGTATCTAGAAAATAATTTACCTGCTTTTGATTTTACACGCTCATTAGTTGCCTTGTAACAGAGGATACTTTGGGCTGTGGACTTTTGAGTTAATGCTGAAATGAGTCGAGACTTTGGGGTACTTTTGGGAAGCCATGATTGGTTTTGAAATGTGAAGACATGGGATTTGGGAGGGGCCAAGACCAGAATGATATGGTTTGGCTGTGTCTCCACCCAAATCTCATCTTGAATTGCAGCTCCCATAATCCCCATGTGTCCACGGGAGAGACCTGGTGTGAGGTAATAGAATCATGGGGGTAGGTTTCTCCCATGCTGTTCTCATGATAGTAAATAAGTCTCATGAGTTCTGATGGTTTTATGAAGGGCAATTCCCCTGCACACGCAGTCTTCCCTTCCACCGTGTAAGACATGCCTTTGCTCCTCCTTTACCTTCTGCCATGATTTTGAGGCCTCCCCAGTCATGTGAAACTGTGAGTTCATTAAATCTCTTTTCTTTATAAATTACCCAGTCTTGGGTATTTTTTCATAGCAGTATGAAAAGAGACTAATACAAGCAAAATACTGAATTTCTAGTATTAGGACCCAAAATATCTGAACATCATAAATGTGGGCCAGAGGGGTATAACACAGTCTAAATTAATTGCCCTCTACCTAGTTAAAATTGTTTCTAGATGACCTTGTAAATTGGGTGTGGATAACTATAAAGAATATATAAATAAAATTCATACATTTTGATCTCATATATATACATATATACACATATATACATATATACACACATATATACATATATATACATATACATATATCTATATATACACACACACATATATATATACACACACACACATATATATATATATAAATTTCATCTAGACATCTTTGCTTTTGACATTCCTTTTGGACAAACATATATTCTCTTAATCCTTCTGATTTTACTGTTTTTTAATTAA
Source organism: Homo sapiens (assembly GCF_000001405.40). Classification (NCBI taxonomy): domain Eukaryota; kingdom Metazoa; phylum Chordata; class Mammalia; order Primates; family Hominidae; genus Homo; species Homo sapiens. Next base: position 85,372,248 of record NC_000003.12, on the reverse strand, counting down.
AAACACTTCTTTCCATTCATGAGGTGTATATTGTCAAAATATATTTGGGTTCATTTAAAATCAAATTTTTCTTAAATATCTTGGAGGGTTTCAGTGGTGATTTTCTTTAGGACTACTTTATGGCACCAATTTTTCTTCAGCAAAAGGACACTTGAGCAGTTTGTCAAACACCGATGTAATAAAGTCAGCAGATTATCTAGGCACTTTTCTATGCCTCTTTAAAATAATATTATTTCATATCTCCACAGATTAGAGGAGACAGAGAGAACAAAAAACTTAGTTGAACAAATATGTTTACATTTTCACAAGATCTACCAAGTCTAAGTTTTTACATATACAGTTCTCCTTCACAGTATACAGGAGGGATGGGTTCCAGGACTCCATAACTCATACCAAAATCAGACTCAAATTCTGCAGTCAGCCCTCTGGAACCCAAGTATACAAAAAGTTAGCCTTCCATATATGCAGATTTGGCATCCTGTAAATACTGTATTTTAGATCCAGGTTTGGTTAAAAAAATCCACTTGTAAGTGAATATATATATATATATATATATATATATATATATATACACACACACACACACATATATATATATCCCCATGCACACACACACACACACACACACAGTGATGTGTGGCTTAATATTATGATGAAGATAGGTTCTGAAAATTGCATACTTAAGCACCTTTGTTCTTGTTCTTGTGTAAAGACCATAGAGTGTACTTACCTAAGCCTAGATGGTATAGCCTACTGCACACCTAGGCTGTATGGTGTAACCTATTACTTTTAGGGTACAAACATGTACAGAATGTTATTGCACTGACTGCTGTAGGTAGTTGCAGCACAATGGTATTTGTGTATCTAAACATATGTAAACATAGAAGAGGTACAGTGAAAATATAGTGCAATGGATTAAAAATTGTACCTCTGTAGAGTACTGACTTGCCACAAATAGTGTTTGCAGGACTGGAAGCTTCTCTGGGTGTGTCAGTGACTGAGTGGTGAGTGAATGTGAAGAACTTGGACATTATGGTATGCTTCTGTAGACTTTAGAAACAGTGTAAACTTAGGTTACACTAAATTTATATAAAAAATTTTCTATCTTTAATAATAAATTAATCTTAGCTGATTGTAACGTTTTTACTTTATAAACTTTTTATGCTTTTAGAATTTTTTTGACTTTTTTCTACCATTTTACTTATAACACAACACGTTATACACCTGTATAAAATACAAAACTTTTTTAAAAAAATTCTTATTCTGTAAGCTTATTTCTATCGACAATTTTTGTTTCATTTTGTTTTGATTTTTTAAACTCTTTTGTTAAAAACAAAGACACAAACACACACGTTAGCCCAGTTCTCTGCAGGGTCGACATCATCAGCATCACTTCTTTCTAACTCCATATTTTGTCCCAGTGGAAAGTCTTCAGGGGCAATAACATGCATGGGGCTGTTATCTTCTATGATAACAATCTCTTCTTCTGGAACACCTCCTGAAGGCCCTGCCTCAGGCTGTTTTACAGTAATTAATGTTATAAGTAGAAGAAATACATTCAAAAATAATGATTAGAAGCATAGTATAGTAAATACATAACCAATAACATAGTTGTTTACTATCATCACCAAGTCCTATGCACTGTACATAATTGTATATGCCATACTTTATATAACTGCAGACACAGTAGGTTTGTTTTCATTGGCATCAACACAAACATGTGAGTAATGCATTGTGCTATTACTTTATGACAGGTATGACAGCACTAGGCAATAGGAATTTTTTAGCTCCATTATATTTTAGTTCAATTTTCTTTTATTTTATTTTGAGACAGAGTCTCACTCTGTCACCCAGGTTGCAGTGCAGTGGCGCGATCTTGGCTCAATGCCACCTCCCCCTCCCGCGGTCAAGCAATTCTCCTGCCTCAGCCTTTGGAGTAGCTGGGATTACAGGCGCCCCCGCCACCACACCAAGTTATTTTTTAAAATTTTATTATTATTATTATTATTATTATTATTATTATTATTATTATTTTGAAAAGGAGTTTCGTTCTTGTGTCCCAGGCTGGATTGCAATGGCGCTATCTCAGCTGACTGCAACCTCTCCCTCCCGGTTTCAAGCGATTCTCCTGCCTCAGCCTCCTGAGTAGTTGGGATTACAGGCACTTGCCACTATTCTCAGCTAATTTTTGTATTTTTAGTAGACACGGGGTTTTTGACATTCCTTTTGGATAAACATATCTTCTCTTTTAATCCTTCTGATTTTGCTGTTTTTTTTAATTAAAAACATCTCTTTCCATTCATGAAGTGTATATTGTCAAAACATATTTGGGTTCATTTAAAATCAAATTTTTCTTAAATATCTTGGAGGGTTTCAGTGGTAATTTTCTTTAGGACTGCTGTGTGGCATCAATTTTTCTTCAGCAAAGGGACACTTGAGCAGTTGGTTGAACACTGATGTAATAAAGTCAGCAGATTATCTAGGCACTTTTCTATGCCTCTTTAAAATAATACTATTTAATACCTCCATAGATTAGAGGAAACAGAGAGAACAAAAAACTTTTAGTTGAACAAACATGTTTACATTTTCACAAGATCTACCATGTCTAAGTTTTTACATACACAGTTCTCCTTCACAGTATACAGGAGGGATGGGTTCTCCATGTTGGTCAGGCTGGTCTCGAACTCCCGACCTCAGGTGATTCCACCCGCCTCAGCCTCCCAAAGTGCTGGGATTACAGGCATGAGCCACTGAGCCCAGCCGAAATTTTGTATTTTCAGTAGAGATGGGGTTTCGCCATGTTGGCCAAGCTGGTCTCAAACTCCTGACCTCAGGTGATCCGCCCAACTCGGTCTCCTGAACTTTTGGGATTACAGGCGTGAGCCACTGCACCGGGCCTCATTATAATCTTCTGGGACCACCATCATATATGTAGTCATGATATGTCATTGACTGAAATGTTATGTGATGCATGATTGTGTGTGCAAAAATACTGTTTTAATAAAAACTACATGAGCACTGTGGTACAATTCGCCATCATTAATCCTTGAAAATCTTACCCTTATTTATTATATACAGAATTTCACTGCAATAAGTTACTGTTTAATTGGAAATAAGATTTTAAAGGAATTCTTAATTCCTCCAATAATGTATTTAATCTTAACAAGAACTCATTACCAGTAAACGTTTTAGAAGGAAGACATAAGAAGAAAGAAATCACTTCTGGAAATGCTATTTCTATACATTAGATTTTTTAATTTTCTCCAAGATAAAGTACAACAGTCATCTGATTTTGGCCTAGTCTCTTTATCCTGATGGAGTTGGACTGGCAATAGGGATTGTACTACATCCTCAACCAGTGGATAATGTAAGCAATGAGACAGAATAGGGTGCAATGAGACAGAACAGGGTACAATTAGTTGTGTTTAAATGGGGAGCAAACAATGAGTGATGACATTCTCTTTTCTATTCTTCTGTTTACATTTAAATGTTACACAAAAATAGTTAGAAACGTATTATTTTTCCTGCCAGGATAAAATATATTATTATGCCTGAAGAGAGACATACAGTAATTTTTTAAAACTTACATTTCTAGAAGATATTTGTGTTTTAAAATATGTGAAGAAGGGTAAATAAATCTAGGTTTTACATTGCTTGATACTTTTTCAGGTATATATATATATTCAGGTATATATATATTCAGGTATATATTAATATATATTAATATTCATGTATATATATACACACATATGAATCTCATCAACCTCATCATCTCCTCTCTCTGATACCAACTGCTTATGCTATTACCATGGAAAAATTAAGAATTGACTGCAATGAAATATCTGGAAATAATATTGGCCCACGCAATGCTTAGCCCACTCCCCTCTAATCATTTACGTGTATAATGGCTAAAACACCACTTTCAACACTGTCATTTTTTGCTTTTTCTTGTAACTATTGTTGAAGATAAAATTAGATCATCAGAAGGTAGTGGTCTGTGAAGGATACAATGTCTCTCTATCAAGGTTGAACAATAGTTAGTGATGTATCATCCAGAGCCTTGAAACTGAAAAGTTATAAGTATTCAAGGGCTCTGGTCAAACACAAAATTCAATTAATAATAGCCTTGGTAACTGGAAAAATTATTGGAAAGATATCTTTGCTAAGGGGCCATAAAAAGTACCAAAATTAATTTTTGTGTGTAATAAATTAGTGTTTTTTCTTCAGTTATTTCTTCTACGTTGTAGTCTAAACATCCCCCAAGATTGAAATGAGAATATACTATTCCAATTCTTACCATACTTTTGAGAAGGTCATATTGTCAGTTTCAAGTCATCTCTAACTGCAGATTCCTGATTCTCAGCTGTATCTGCGTGTCTAATTATGTGGTACACACACACACACACACACACACATATATATGTATATATATATATGTACTAGAAACTTTGAACACATGATGATGGTGAACAAAGACAGGTATATTACTTTTATTTTGGCATCACTCCTTTTCATTTCAAGTCATAGGGATGAAAATGGGCAAAAGTAGGCAATAGTAGCATTGTATGCCTGTACGGTGCTGACTTTAGAAATATATACGGGAAGCACTTCATATTATGTCAATTCTTTTTCTAATTTCCATAGCACTTAAGCATTTAATTAACCCATTAAGTAAATATTTAATGACCTCTTATTTTGTGTCAGGCATTTTCCTGGGAATGAATAATATAATGGGAAATACACATGGTCACCACTCAAGGACTTTTTGATCTTAAGACTCCAAGCAGTGAACGGCAATTGCAAAATAATGTCTTAATATTGTGGAAGCACATAGAGAGGGTGATTTATCTAGCCTTGGTATTATTGCATTTCTAAGTAAAATTCTGTAGCCCAGGAGGCTGGATTCTATTTCGTTTGCATTCCTTCTGTATTTAACAGTAGTGTCAGATAGGTACAAAATAAATATTTATGGAACTGAAAAAGACATTTTACTTGTGTGTTGGTTAGCAATAAATAAATGTTGACTTAGGTTTATATAAGTTTAGATTTATATTAATGGTTTTTCAAATAACATGCTACTAAAATTATTTCATCAGAGGGTATATGAATATTAAAATATATTATCAATTTTGATATTATATATCAAAACCGATAATTAATTGGACACATCAATTTATGGTATGTTTTTATTCTTTGACACAGAAATATTTGAGAAATATTTATTTGAGAAATCAGTTAAAATACATTTCAGAACACTATGCAAGAAAAAGCCAATGACATAGCTGTGTTAACTAATAATTTTTAATTTAGTTGATTCAATGTTCATTTCAAATAAGAGCACTAATAGAAGATTAAAACTATTTTCTTCATACCTCTATCATTATATATGCTATTTGGTAAAAATCAAATATTCAGTAATGAATACAAAGAAACATAAAAGATTGACATAAAATTATACAGTGAGAATATTAATTAAAAATTATATGTCATTCATTGAGTGACAGATTTAGTATTTTAGATTTCGGCATTAATATTAAAATTGTTTCTTAAAAAACAGGTATTTCAAGTCATTTAAAACAAATGCTACTAGAAAGTTAGTTTATTAATTTTGTTCATGTTAATTATTATACAAGCACTTAGAGTCTTATTTATGCAATATTGTGACTTCTCCCCTGTGGTTAAATTTTTCCTGATAAAAGCCTTAAAAATCTCTCCTTTCAAAGATTATAAATGAAAAATTACCACAAATAACAAGCCTCACAAAACAACATTCTGACTGCATTGTCATATTTATTATAAAACACTTGGTTCACTGCATTTTGGCATTTTATACAACTGCTTCTGACAGTGATTAACATGGTTTGGGCTTCTGCAGTTTCACCCAAGAGAAATAAAACACCAAAATCTCCGCAGGTGTGTAATGGGCCAGAGATTTACAATCTGTTCTGCATAGTCAGACTTCAAAGACTTAAAAAATCCTAAAGTTGGCAATGCCTCAATCATCACTTTTATTTAAGGTATTTTTCCATATTTCAAAAGACACTCTGTGGCTATTTGCAAAAATTATATCTCTAATTTGACTTCTGTGCAGGTCTTTCAGAAGCTAATTTTCATGATACATCTGCACATTCCAGATGAACAGACAGCACCTATGTAAAGCAGCAAACTAAATCATTAAGTATTTACTTGTACTTCTAAGAAGACTTCACTTACTTGAAGTATGTTGCATCACTTAACTGATGCTAAGGAGTAGTTGGGAAGTACCAAGGTAATTACTAAATGACAATCAGACAGCAGCACCTGGGCTATGGCAGCCCCAGGACAAGTGCTCATAATTGCTTCCATGATTGCGTGGTGTGAACCTAATATAAAACTTGCCCAATTAGGGTCAGAATGCACATGATAATTTCAATTATAGGAATGTTCATCTTCCTGAGAGCTTCTCACAGAGGAAAAAGTTCAATTTTTAAATGTGAGAATTTACACATTTTAGTGGATATTCAGGTCTGTCTGCATGTGTGCTTGAAATAGAGTGAAAATTACTCCATTTTAAAATAATTTTTCATTTATGTATTTTAAGTGTCATCTCTGTAGCCTACCTTTCTACAGGTAAATGAACAACTAACAAACAACACAGAGGCTTGTCATTTTAATGATATGACATACATAAAAAATCAGGAGTGGATTACTTTCTTTAAACTTGAATTCTGTCCATGCATTTCAGTGAAAGCACCCAGTAATCTCTCTGTCAACCAAGGCTATTACTAACAGAAATAAAATAAATTGAATAATGGGCCAATATTTTTAGTCAATTTAACCACCAAAGGTTTTGATTGCTATAATATTTTGCCCGAAGTATAGTTCTCTTTACTTCAAGTACGTTTGTTGAAAATTGTCAAGGTCATAGATGCACACATTAACTGTATCAGTCAGGGTGGCAAAGAGAAAAGCCCTCTTCCATTACAGCTGATTGCAGCCTTCATTTTAATGTGCCTCATCATCTCATCAACCTTGTTTTAAACAGGGAATTATCTAAAAAAAAAAAAAAAGTAAAAAAAAAAAAAAACCCTCCCAATTCTTGACCCACCAAGAATGTCTAGGTAGTATAATTTTTTTAAATAGAAAAACCTTCATCATACAAAATATTTTTAAAGCTTTGTCTTTTTAAATATTGTGAATAAAAATAAAGCATTCATTCATAAAAACTATTGATTAAGAACATAAAAGATCTAATTGCAAATATGCTAACCATGTTTGCATTAGGATGTGAAAAATAACATCGTGCCATTTTCCAATGCTATAGAATCTTAAACTTATTTCTCATTCATTTCTTCTAGTTTATTGTTGTTGTTGTTGTTGTTGTTGTTGTTGTTGTTGTTGTAGGAACAAGCATATGATCCAGAACAAGCATCAGAACCACAAGGGTATGTTCCTTGGCGTCGTTTCCTGACCGAAGTTATTGCATCTGTCTGCCAGGATGCTTTAGCAAGTTTCAATCAATAATGTTAACCTGAAGCCAGCATTGACCTAACTGAACTTGAACCCACTGTAACATTGTATTACAAAGATTGGGGGCTGTAGTAATTCATTGCTTTAAAGTGAAAAAATAGATCATTTTAGATTTATAAAAAGCCATAATTTATGTAGTGATGCTAATTTTGAGGTATGATGTGCTTTAATCTCTCATTCTGCTTGCCATTCTGTGACAGAAATGCTGAAGCCCTCTGAAGGTTACAAACAATGTTCACTAATAACGAGCTCTTATGTCCTTGTAGGTTTCACTTTGATGGATATCTATAGTGTTTCCCTGTGACATAATTCTACTGAGGAAAAACACCTCTTGAAAACCCAGCTTGTACTTTCACCTTCAAATATAACAGGCGTGAGTTTTAACAGAAATGTAAACTAAAAATGAGAAATAAATGCACATTTTTGTCATAGTTCTGTTGTCATTTCTATGGTACTGCCAGATTTAATTGGTAAAAATAAACATGCTATAGAAATAAAAATTGATATAGTAGAGTGCTTTCTGTGGAGTAGATACTCTTAAAAACCATTCATTTAGCCATAAAACGGCAATATCACTCTAATGAGACAAAGACAGCATGTGCTTTAAAAATATATTTTAATAGAGCCTTAACATAAATAAGTCTCTCTTTTGATGTCCATTTTAGTGGAGGGGTTATAGCTAGGCCCCAAAACAGTTTTAACATTTTCTAGCATTACCTGTTGTTACATATTATAATGATAAGGTAATGCAGAATGAACACAACCAGAGACATAAAATATGAAGTCTCTCTCAAATGCTTCTACTGTCTACATAAAGATGTCAAATCAAGGCCGGGCGCGGTGGCTCACGCCTGTAATCCCAGCACTTTAGGAGGCCGAGGCGGGCGGATCACGAGGTCAGGAGATGGAGACCATCCTGGCTAACACGGTGAAACATCGTCTCTACTGAAAATACAAAAAATTAGCCGGGCGCGGTGGCGGGCGCCTGTAGTCCCAGCTATTCGGGAGGCTGAGGCAGGAGAATGGCGTGAATCCAGAAGGCGGAGCTTGCAGTGAGCCAAGATCGAGCCACTGCACTCCAGCCTGGGCCATACAGCGAGACTCCGTCTCAAAAATAAAATAAATAAAATAAAATAAAGATATCAAATCAAAATACCACAGTCTTTACATAATAAATAGTGGAAAGTTTATTAAGATTTTTATGTTTTGTATAAAGACTAAACCTTTTTTTTTTAAATGACACTGAAAGTTGTTAGCAGTGGCTACAGAAAGGATTACTTGGGGGTATTTGGGGTTTTAATTTTAGCTCAGCTCAACAGGAAATGCTATAGATGCAATCCACAGGTGTTTTCTTCAGACATTACCATTCTGTTTGCATTATATTTTGTTTCCATGGACTTGTTCACAGTTTTCAATATAAAAATGACCTCATTGATTTACCTCTGTCAGATGTCTGCTTCAGCAAATTATGTACATTGGTTATCTTTCTCAGTATACGCACACTATGAAATGACCATATGTAAAACTCTATACAAGGAGAATGAAGTTTGGAAATTGTGTTTGAGATGATCACAGAAACCCATTATTTTCTTAACAAGTTTATATCTCTACTTCCTGTGCAGTGCTGTGTAGCCCGGCGATTCCATGAACACAGGACCAAAAGACAGACCCTAAGGAGACTTTGAGTACTCAGAAAGCAGCTGTTGTAAATCTCATATACAAATTTAGATTTTATCCATGACACCATGTCAGCACAAGTGATTTGCAGAAAGTATGCAATGAACTCAATAGAGATGCCCTGAGACTCTCCAAGTGAAAAACTTACATTCGTAAGTGTTTGAATTTTGATATGCCTTTAACTATATATTTCCTTTTATATTACAATAAAAATAATATCAGTATTCATGGGAATGTGATGTTAGAATATTTCCAGCTGTCTAATACTCTAAAAATGTGAAAGAAGTACCTTTAAACACCTGCAGTGACAACAAATGCATAAATAATATAAGCAAATAGAATAAAGTTCCAATCTACCTATTTGATTAAATGGGAGCACAAGTTGAAACTTGCTCCCCCATTCACCAAGATCCTGAAGCTCATTATGTGAAGGAATTTAATGCCTTATAGGTGAATGTATAGAGAAGTTATCAAGGACAGTCTTTCATTAGGTTTTTGAAAAGCAGTTTCTAAATATATGCATGTCACTTTAATGAAAAGAGTGATGATAGTAATTTCTAAATGACCTACAGATGTGTTTATATAGCACCTGCCTATCTCTATTGGGTAAATTTTTCATTTAATTTTATACGCTTCAAATGGGGAGGTGTGGGGAAATGCAGATACAGTTATTTGATTATTCATGTGAAGAAATCTAGCAATTTTCTCAAAAAGGATGTTTTTGATAAGTAAAATTTGAGGACTAGAAATGTAGAAAAGAGACTTCCTCTTTTATTCCAAATTGTAGTTACTGAAAAGTAGAACTGTTTGGAGACACTCCACCTGCTTCAGCAAACACATAGCTATCCCTGTACTGGAGAACATCTGGTTTTAAGAAGGTGAAATGTAATTACTGCAGGGAGATCTGAGATATTCCATATGCCTAATTTCATTGGGCGGGTCCTGTCACTTACTGGAGGTCCAAACCAAAGTTGTATGGGCTTAATTGCTTTAGAAAAGCATTCCCAAGGCTGATGCTACCCCAAATCTCCTCCAGAGCTGTTGGTAATACATTGTTCTACCAAAGGTCCTTTTGCAAATAACTGAAATCCACTCTTTATCAACACATTCAGAAAATGTTAGCTTCCTTTGAAATACAATACATATGTCTTGCTTCCTTAAGTCATGTGGTCGAGATGGCCATCTATCCACAGACTAACACAAAGGAAATTTTTGTGGAAGTAGCTTCTCAGAAATTGACTATATCCCTTTGTTCCACTTACATCCAGACATGGCATTGTGACTAATTCTTGCTAATGTGGGATTTTTAAGAAGTGGACTGGTCTCGATTTTCTCCCATTCCTCTGCTGACCAGAAGCAGATTTCAGGACGCTTTGCAATGATAATGCTGCAAGAGGAAAGGAACTTAGATCCTAGATGGCAGAAAGCCACCCTCTCACATGCAAGGCTCATGTTGGGCTATCAGGGAGTGAAGAAAAAAGCTTCTATTTTGTTGAACCACTTAATTTGGGAGATTATTTGCTCAAGCTTCCAGTGTTATCCTTAAAATGACAGGCCCATCACCATGCTTGCCAATTATGGATCAGATAACTCATTTAATAATTATTTAGTACTGTTAAAAACAATTTTATTTGGAGACCATTAGGCTAAGGCAGCCCCTGAGTTTTCCAAAGCCCAATGCAAACAATAAAAAGAAACTAGAGACTGTGTACCAATCAGAAACTGCCAACCAATTTCTAGGGACTTTTCACTCTGACCAGTGAAATATGTTTCCTTTGTCTTGTTTCCATGAAAATATTATTTAAAAAGTTCCTCTCTCGCTGCTGCCTCTGCCCCCACCAAGCACTGCTAAACTGCTTGCAGTCTTGTGCTCCCAATTCATGAATCGTTCAATGCTCAAATAAACCCTTTAAAATTTTAATGTGTCTAAGTTTATCTTTGAGTAGTACCTACTACAAACAAGATTCTATGCTAGTCCCTTGGGATAAAAGATGGCTATGACACACGTTTTTTCTGATGGTCCAGACAAGAAAGAGTAGACTAAATGCAGAATTGTAAATGATAGACTGTATGCTGGGGTAGCGGGAAGTAAACCTGCAGGTGGCAGCATGAGCAAAGGCAAGGAATGAGAACTAGCATGTGAAGGATGCCACACTGCTGATGGTTCCCTGTAGCTGCAGAATGACTTTGAACCAGGGAGTGGCTCAGTGAGACCTACAATAGATACACAACGGTACTGAGGAAACAAGTTCAGAATTAAGAACACCAGTTTGTAACAACACTCTTGTGATGCTTCAATAAAATGTAAAGAGGATTCGGACCAGGGCAGTGGCAATAAGGGTGTCAGAATTGGAAACAAATACGTGAAAAATTAGGAGGCAAAATCAACAGGACCTGGTGATTAATTTGATTCATTGAATTTGTGAGAGGAAGTGAAACAGATTTACCTTACTCTAAACGATGGCACTAAACAATAAATATTCAGGAGAGGCCAGTTTAGAAGGAAACTGATTAACTCATTTTTGTTATATTAACTTTTAACTATCCATATGTTATAGAAGTTGTAATGACCAACCAGCAATTAGATACATGAATCCAAAAATAAGAAAGAAAATTCTGACCTGGTGAGCCAAATTTGATTTGTGTAAGTCAGCTTTTATGTTTTTACTTATATTTGTCTATAGCTATTTTTAAATGTTGATTTCATCTGAGATGCTATTTTTTGATAGGATAGAACATATACTTTAAAAACTTATTTTATATTTTTGTGTTATTAGCTAACAATAGTAGATGTTTCACTGGTATTATAAGTCCTAAGCTTTGTGAGAAATACATATAAGCTTTTTATGTCCTGCTTGCTAATGGTTTTCAATGCTATCTTTAGTAAAAAACCATAATACTTAATCTGCTTATGTATTGAAGTCTCTTGTATTCTAGAAATTCAAAGACATTCTATTTGATATTTTCCAAAATGAAAAAAATTATTTTGTATTTATCTTTGTATACGTGAAAATTCACATTTTCAGCTTAATTTTATATATTGTATCATTATTATATTATCAGAAGCCCTGAATACAATGGCATTGTGGAAAAAATGATTTTGAATGCTTTAATGGAGAGTTAATTGTATGATTTTTAAACAGATTTGATAATCTGCCTGATAGAATACTATTTATGTTTAAATATAGTAATTTAGTTTAATTTTAAAAGAAAATGTTGGTGTTCACAGATCTTGGGTTACATTTTTTGCAGCATTTAAAATATGCAAGGCAGTATGGACAAGGCTGCAGACACAAAGTTAATGAAACATTGTTTTCTCAACTTGCTTACTATTAGTAGAGTTGAGAATCCTAGCCTCCCTTTTCTTTGTCTTCTCCCCTCCACCAAAAAAAAAAATATATATATATATATATATATATATATATGCTGACATTGGCCTGGAATAAAAATAATCAGAGAAAGTATCAGTAGTCTTGATCTAAGGAAAGAGTGCTTTGTTATGAATATCACTTCAGGGTTGCCTTAGATCCTGTTATATCCCAATAGATTGAATTTATTTCACTGACACACAACTTGGTCAAAGAGTATGCTATAGGACACAACTTGCCATACCTGATTTCCAACAGATGTTGATTTTAATTTATTTCCATTCTGTACACATTGCCCCTGCCTCTTATTGTCCCTATGATTTCCCCACATAAGAGTATTTCTTGATAATCTTCAAAATTTCTCTGTCCAGCTTTAAAGATATAATGCAATGCTATACTGAAAATGCTTGTTCAAGTATTTGGATTACTTTGAAAATCTCAACAAAGGCATAACAAGAATGGACAAAGATTAATCCATTTCTTTTAGAATTGCTGCCTTCTAGTCCCAGGGAAATATGCTCATTTGCATGGTTGAAATATAGCATACTGAGTTCCTTAGCTCCTTCCACCCTCCTCAGTCAAGCCTAACACCCATGAATCACTGGCAAGTGTAATGAGGCTGTAAAAGAAGATGTCCAGGTGGAAAGATTGTGACAGGTCTCACAGGACTCTTGAGACAATGATTTACATTTGTTTGAGTTTACACAAAACTATTGTCACATTATAAAGTGTTTCAGAAATGACCAAGTGCTAACCTGCAGTTGATTTTGGACAATGTCACAGTAAGCACAACCCACTAACTACAAGATTATTTCCTATTTGCAGCTTCAATCGTTCATTAAAATAAATGTTTGGTTAACCAGCCACTAAAACAACCTCTTAAAGTTATCCATTTCTGAACCACGTATGTATTATACTCTTAATTTACAATTAACAGTACACAGTGAATACGTCTTCATAATAAGTATTTCTTGAGGACGTTACACATAAACAGTTCTTCTAAGATTAGTACTTGATTTCTTTCCATTTTTCATCAATTTTATTGGCTATGCAATTTCTTTCCTTTGATCAATCACTGTTTAAATTGACCAGTCTAATGCATCATAGCAAAAGATTTTCAGAAATCATTAGGCACATTAAAATGCATATTCAGCTCATACAGTTGTAATGGGCTCCACTCACACCCACCAATTGAATTCTTGGATAATCTGCCTAGTTTGCTGTTCTGCCCATCACCAAACTCTGAGCCACAGGCTACTTGTAAAAATATTTTCCCTGGTTCTGAACTATATATATATATTTTTTTTGGAAAATGATGTATAACATTCTGCGGTTAATAAGACTGGACTTACTTTACCCCAAAATTTCTTAGATATATAATTCTAGAAAGCAATGCTCAGAATAGAGAAAAACAATGTTCTCCACCAGGAGTGATTTTGCTGTCCAGGGGACATTTGGGCATGTCTGCAGACATGTTTGATTGTGACAACTGGGGGACAAGATGCTACTGGCATCTAGGTGGTAGAAGCCAGGGATGCAGCATTCATTATACAATTTGCAGTATTCATTACACAACATTATACAATTCATAGGCTGGTCTCCCACAACAAAGAATATTCCTGCCAAAATGTCAATGGCACTGAAGTTGATATAACTTGGTCTTCAGTATCCATACAAATACATTTGTAGGACATAAAGGTTGGCCATGCAATCTACTGTGAAATCAGAGCAATATGTCTGAGTCCACCTACGGCCATGATTCTCCTCCTCCATTTGATGATACAGCTAGAGGTCTCTCCCTGGTTAGCGTTCTGTTTTATCAATCATGTCTGATGTGACTCATTCCCTTAGAAACTCTTCTCATCTTCCTCATTGTAGTTAATAACTTTAAATGATACAATCTCTACTGTTTTCCCACTGATAATTTACTTAGTATTTCTTGAAGAAGAAGACATGGAAGTTTTACACTATCTTACCTTCCAGGCCCTGAAATGTGAGAGCCCTTGAATGCGACCTTGGGAAGGTAGTATGATAAAGATGAATGGATTTGGGAGTAAATTAGACAGGGCTGAAGATCTAATTTTGCCATTTATCAGACAAATGATATTATAGAACTTGAGTTTTCTATCTGTAAAATGTGGAAAGTAATTGCTCTCCAATTAGATGGATATAATACTTAAATAGAATACTATATATTTAAAGTACTAGCTATAATATGTACTCAATAATAAATGATAATTATCTGATCTTTGAGAGATGGTCTGAATCCAAAGAATGATCCTAGTTATAAGAATTTGGTAAAAGTTAGGTGGAAGAATCAGAAATAATTTTTTGAAAGTCAGGTAAAAGGTAAAATGAAGATATATTTAAAATTAGTCATAGACACATATTAAATTCTTTTTCTTTGACAGTTAATGTTTGAAATTTCAGCAATTTGTATTTTTTCTAAGCTTGCTGACAATTTCTACAGTTTGCTAGTAAGGGCGATGGAGTGTTGACAAGCCATTTCCAAAGTTAAGCCAATAAAGGACTAGGTATCTTGTGCTTTTAGGGTTTTTTCCCACATATGTTGAAGTTTGGATATAAATAATAGACTAGTTTTTATAAAACAAGAATAACAAAATTTCAATTTAAGTTTATCTCAATGTAAATATAAAATTAAAAATAAAAATTCTTCTAGTAGCCTTGTTAATCATAGAATAACTGGTACCAACTAATCTTCATACTTCTATATCCCAGCAGTGAGTGGAAGGTCAGTGATATCATGTATCATCTCATTCAATTTGTCTTTAAATAAATGCTGCAGATTTTATCATAAAATACCCATTCAAAAATTTCCCATCACTTTTAAGTAATCTTGCATTTATAAATAAAAACTTCCAGGTGCTGCTTTACAGCTCTTTTTCAAAGTCTTCATAAAACAGTAGAAATAGAATGTCATAGTTATAAAAATTCAAATGTAAATGGAAAATGAACAGGACATTAAATGCATAGCATTTGAACATTCTTAGTTCTACTATGTTATTATCTGTGCTCAAAAACTTGTTAATGTGCCTTGTGAAAGAATATTATGTACGTGTTTCTCTTTCCCATAACTCGAGAGCTACTCAAAGTCAAGAATGTACATCTTAGGCATCTTTTCAAAACGCAGATCTCATTGTATTATCTTTTCTACTTAAAATCTGGCTTCCACTTGTCAAAATACCAGAGTCCTTCACAGGCCTGTAGATTCTGCATGGACTGACCCTGAACTAGCTTTCCAACCTCTCTGACTCCTGGAATTCTGTGCAACAGCTACAAATGTTTCTCAATAGTTTAGAGGTGTTCAGCTCCATCTCACCACAGCTCTTCCTTCTCTGCAACTCCCTAGTATTTTTTTCTTTATGTTTTTCTTTATATTAACTCCCAATCATTCCTCAAGATTGATGGTAGAATGCAACTAGTCATACAGAAAAACATCCCTGAATACTCTAGTATTAGAACATTCTTACCTACCTCACTCTTTCAGTCTCCTACATCATTTGTTGAAATTATCTGATAGTATAGCTACCTCACCCACTAGATAGGCAGCTAGTGAGGGTTGGCATAGTATCTGTTCTAATTGTGACTGAAAAAGCATTTTATTTGTTACATAAACCATGTCCCAGTAGTATTCGTTTGAATGAATTATTAATTCAAAACATTATTTAAAATGGCTTATTTGGTGGATCACAACATTTATATCTCCACCTAAGTTTAAAGTTGACCCTCTATTTTCAGATCAGAATCTTATTTCCAGCTCATATTACAACAAACATGAAACGTGTGCAGCAGTCATTCAGATTTGTGAACAGACTGAGAATAAATACATCACTAGCCCACTCTTCTTCCCCTCCTTTATTCTGCATCAAACACAACAGACCCTTCTGTTCTCAAAGACAATATACCCACTATCATCTCAGATATTGCCACTTGCTAAAATATTCTTTTCTCAGATACAATTTACAGCTATCCTCCAAAGCCACCCTATCTGACATCGCAACTCTATGTTTTCGCGATTTTATTTTTTCCTTTGCACTCACCATTATCTACAATTGTTTTGTCCCTGCTCTACCCTCTGCATCTAAAATAGTGCTTGGCACAAAGTAAGAACCCATGAATTCTTGTTAAATAAGTGAATGAAAAATGGCCCGAATGAAAATCTCTTGTTAACTTCTATTAAAAAATATCTAGTCCAATTTATTTCACAGCAAACAAATCTACATACGAAGTGAGAAATAAAAATAATACCCTAAGTCTCTAAGCCAAGGGGACCTAGAGTAACCTTAAAAATTGAGTTCCTGGCCGTGATGGGATAGGTGCTCACCATGCCTCAGTATTCTCTTTTCATATTAACCTTTAACCAAAATTATTTCCGAAGGAGTAAGGAGAAGCCAGCTCTGAAAACAAGAGACGGATGATGCATTCCTTTATTGCCTTTAGCTAACCATCATCTCGACCTCCACTGAACTCCCCTTCCCTCTTTGCAGTTTTGAGGTGACAGCTCACCAGTTTCACAATGCCTCCTTCCTAAAAACTGACCACCGTCCTGGATTGGTTTTGGCCAAATCACAGAGTGTGCACAATGAGGGTTTTTGCAACCTCTACCTTACCTTTTGAAGTCAGAGCATCGACACGCTCTGAAGTTTGAGCGTCGACCCAAGCTTGACATTAGCATGGGTCAAGCTAATGACAATGGCATTTTTTGGACATGGGTTTCCGTGAAGACAAATGAAGCTCAATTGTGCATGCACATGTCCCACCTCCCATATTCGTGATTCCTCCTATAGCACAGTAAATATGTATATTTGGCCATCTCACTCAGCATAAATTTCTGTTCCTTTCATAACCCCCTCGAAATGCTTACTCTTGTCTTCTGCCAGAGCCCAGGCTTCCCAGCCTGTGGGATAACCAGCCTGTAAGCTGCAACTCTTTATAAGAAATAAAGCTCTCCTTTCCAAATTTATGAACATCTTCATTCTTCAGTTGACAGAACTCAGATTATATTTCTGATCTTAGCAACAGAATAGGCTTCTCTCTCTCTCTCTCTCTCTCTCTGTTAGGTATTCTTTATAATATGATGTATGTATTTAAAATGCCCACATGCACACAAACATATGCATTTACACTTTATTTCCTTTCCTCTGCATTAGGTCACTTTATTATTATTATTATTATACTTTAAGTTTTAGGGTACATGTGCACAATGTGCAGGTTTGTTACATATGTATACATGTGCCATGTTGGTGTGCTGCACCCATTAACTCGTCATTTAGCATTAGGTGTATCTCTTAATGCTATCCCTCCCCCCTCCCCCCACCCCACAACAGTCCCCGGAGTGTGATGTTCCCCTTCCTGTGTCCATGTGTTCTCATTGTTCAATTTCCACCTAGGTCACATTTTGATATGATTTATTTCGACATATGAATAATGATTCTCCAAAATTCATATATAAATCAAGAATTTTCTAAATATTGGTTGATTTAGACACGATAATGTAATTCAATATTTTATTATGCCATCCATTTTAAAGGTAAAAACTATATTTCATTGTGCCATGTAGCTGAATATAAATAAAGGTATATTTTAAAAGTTGTCATACTCTTTTAAACAAACTCTTGTAGTCAGTTCTATTCCTAATAAGCTCCAGAAAAAAAAATGGCGTTGACAAGAGTAATATTTGTACTTTGATTCAAATTAGAATAATTGTACATATATAGTTATGTATGATTATATCCCTCAGTGCCAATAATGACCTAACATTTATTCAAATTGAAAGATAAATATTTTCACTTTTATTTGAAACAAAGTTGATATTTTTGTTGTATCATATAAATGGCCAAATTTTCATTATAAAGCAAGGACAAATGATTACCTAATTCTTCACTAATTTTAGGTGCATTGATTTCGGTAATAAGAATTTCAAAAAAATATTGAGTGGAAAGGAGGAAAAAGCAAGATATCTAATGAATATACTTTTATTATTGACATGCAAATCAATTGATGTAGCAATATTATGTAACCACATGAGTGGTTGTTAAGAAAGGGAAATCTAAGTAAAGGAAAACAAACACGATCCTTAATAATGATTCACTTTGATAAAATAACTCACTGCAAAAAAAAAACAAAAAAAAAGAAACCATCAACTAAAGAAAGGAACAGAAAAAATATAATTAATACAAAGCAATCATATAAAATTAATTCAAATGAAAAATAGAAGACAGAATTATTTCCCTGAACCAGGCACATTTATGTGTAAAGGAGTGAAATATAAATTTTAAGGGGCAAGAACAAAGCAAAGGTAAACATGAAAATTATACAACTGATCTTTATTTTCACAGAATTTCTTACATTGCAATTGAGAGGGGGAAATGGCCTCGCTGTGATTCTTTACTGAAGTGCTCTAATAGAATGGATTCCTGCTGCGTGTTTCTCTTAAGTTATAAGAGTCACTGACTTCAACTTCCATAAGTGTACCTTGAGCTTTGGAATTCTAGTCAATGACATATTCCTTTTCTCTTCAATTTTTCAAGGCATAAAAAAATAAGAAAAAATAATCCAAGCTGCAACAAATCATTTTACTAGAAGATCTCTAAAAATAGATTAGCTCTCACTCTACAGATCAAGTGAATATGTTCAAAGCATTTAAGGATAAATAAGCCTTCAGGAATTCATACCTGTAAAAATATTCATTGTAAGCTGACTTGAAAACTTCTACTTAAGGACTCACTAGTATTAAATTAAAATCTCTCTGTAAAGCTTAGCATCATTCTAGGAACAGCAGCATAGCATTGTGTCTGACTATTTGAGGAAGAAAAATTCAAGTTAATTAATAACCAGAACCACATGGATACAGTAGATTCAAAGACTAAAAAATCATTTGAAAAGCTAGGTTGGATTTGACATGGTCATCCAGTCATTTGAGAAAGAAAGTGATTTTCTTTTTAACTCATAAAATTATAAATATCAAAAAGGCATGTATTTGGTCTGGATACTGTGGAAGCAAAATTGATATTTCACCCTTATACCACTGTAAGTGTATATATCATCTTCCAAGTCAGGAAACAAGAAAACAAAACACCACCTCGTAACCAACTCTGAGATAAACCAAAGTAAACAAAGTCAGACCTGGTCCTCCAAATAAATGAAGCCGTGAAGGTACATTTTAATCCCTAATTTGCAATCAAAATCAGCTTTATCCCTCGCTTCCCAATGTGATAATCATAAAATAAATTAGCTGGTTTTTTTCACCGATAACAGAATAATATAAACTTCTTAAGATATATAATCTTGATGTTATTTTTCTTTGTTTTTATTTGGCAAGATAGTCCTCCTAAAGTTAGACTGACAACTTACTTTAAGTCAACTGCTCTCCTTTTCTAAATGTGTTTGTCTTCTAGTGCTGCTTTTATAATACAAAAGATGACAACACAATCGGTATGTATAGATTCTATAAAGCTGCTTTGGATCTATCAGAAAGAGATATTTTTATAAGATGAACTATAGTGCTTTAATTGTTAACCTTTTAAGAAACCTCAAAAAACACAAACTAAAATATAAGTTTCCTGCACTTTTAAATCAGGAGATAAATTGTCATAATCTTCTATCTGCTTTAAGTGTAAAAGTATTTAAGGAAATACTCAAAGTCAACAGCAATATATGACTTAAACAGTATTTCTAATAACTACTATTATATATATATGGATATCTGTGTGTGTTGCATGTGGAAATATATATTATTTCCACCATTTCTCTAATGGATGTCTGCACTGTGTAAGTACTCCAGAGAGTAAATGTAAGGAAGTCAATGACCCACAAGTTGAGGCAAAACTCTCTCTATGCAGTTCTTATACAGTCTCCCTTAAAAAGATGTTCCCACTAAGAGAATAATATTCTAAATCTCATTTTAAATGACACTATTCAAATATAGACAGGCCCAGGCTTTAAAAACCTTTAACTGCATTACAAGCAATTTTTCCCAAATTTTCAGGACCAGAAACACTTGCAGGCAGCTGAGCAATTCCCACATTCCCTCAGCCTGTGCAGTAAACTTTACATATTTGGGAGGCACACTCTTGTCAGGTCTTATGCAGGCAGCTTTTCAAAGCCTGAGTGTTCCCAGATCAAATTGAGCAGGTGGTTAAATATTCAAGGTCATGTGTGGGACAAAGTTTAATGTAATTCATGGAATAATGGAGTGAACATGAAGGAAAAACACAACATTTTATTTCTTTTGTTAACTTACTCCCATTTAACATTCTGAAGAAGCACCAGCTTTTTTCTTTAATTATACGTTATGCCTATTTTGATGTGATATCCTTTTAATGTCTCTGTTTGACTGGACAGAGTATAATTTAATTCTAAAATATGAAATATTTCCACCACTATGGTAAGCGATACCAGCTGGTGGCAGCTTCCTTGTAAGTTCAAACAAAAACACTTTAACTCAGCAAAGATGCCTCCTTGTTTTTTTCAGTTCAATCATGCCAAATTTAGAAATATTTTATTTGAGTAAGCATCTGGAATATAGTTCATCAAACAGTCAACAGATTTCATGCATATAGTATTAAATGTTCATATGCCCTTCCAGACGATGGCACTAAGTGATAAACATGAAGAGGTAGAGTAAGCCTATTAAATAAAAAACTTGGTACAGTATATCTGAGTTTACTTTTTAAAATTATTTTTGAGAATATTTTTTCTTGTTCTTTGAAAATGTTTTCTGTTTGATCATAGCTATATACAAAATTCTGCTAACATTATTTCCACAGTAACTCATGCTTCAATTAATACCCCTTATTTTAAACTATACCTTGTTCCACAGGGGAATATAATTTCATCTTTCAAAATTCAGCTTGACAGTATGATATGTAGCGGAAGAATTACATATTTCCCCATCTCTACTTTTTTTTTCGTTAATAACCCAAACCTTCTTGTTCTAGATGACGAGTACCTTCTTACAATACTTTCTCATGTACAGTCTTTGTTAATCTACTAAACTAAATACTGTGAGGCTGCAGATCTGACTGTCCTCCTGCTCCATGCCGAAACTCTATGAAAGATCACAGTATTTTCTGAACTTCTGAATGAAATAACTGAATAAATAAAAGACAAGTTATACTTGGATAAGTGATGATATATTAGTATTTGGAATAGGAAAAGATGAGATCAAGAGGTTTTTTGGAAGACAGGTAAAAGTACATGGTAGAAGGATGCAGAAATACTGGCTGTACAGGGCTTGGAGGTAAACTAGGAATAAATCAAAATGCACAGCAAAATGGCAATCATGTCAAAATAAATCATGGTACAAATATTTAATTTTAGAAAATGTTAATTTAAAAGTAGCTTTCTTATTAGACATGTGTTTTGTCATAGTATTATAGAAAGTTATATCAACATTAAAATAAACTATATTCGCTTTGGATATGAAAAAAATTCATGGGATAGTGGTATGAAAGCATTTATCTAGATATTATTTGGTAACCAAAACCTTCTAATCCCACCCTCAGTATAGACACTAAGAACTAAAATAATTCCTTACTGCCTATATTAAGATGACTTTGCGCTATTCCTCTGTCCTCGTTAGTGTTCCTTTAATATTCCTCTGTCTTCATAAGCATAATTTATTATTTCAGAAATACCTTGCCAAGGCAAAGGTTTTGATTGTTCATTATAGAGTCTTCCTGAAACACCCACCTACTCTTCAATGAAACATCAGCAGGCAGTTTTTCCTTACGATTCTTTGCTGCTCTTGCCTTAAACTCCCACCTTGCTGTTTCTACCAATCCTGAACGGTTGTGGCATGGTCTTTAACCCATCCTAGTCCAGTTCTTACTTCGAAAGACCCTCCTTAAATCAAACATCCAATTCTCCATAAATTCTGACTTTATATTCCCTAGTCCAAGACACTGTCTAAATTTTGCAAGGTTCTCTGTTCTCTCTCACTGCAATAAGCAAAACATTCATCTTTGTTTTATCTCTTATCAACAGTTTCTGTTGGTGATATCTGCAGAGTAAGTCTTTGACATGTTCAATCTATGTTTTGTATTCAAAATTAACTTCTGTTAGTAAAAAAAGTGAAGAAAAGTAAACTAAATGAAGTAATTCTCAAAACCGGATAGGAACAATTCTTTCTCGCACTGTAATGCCAAATGAAAGTAAAAATTGTTAGGGAAGACAGAAAGGGAGAAGTGGGGATCAAAAGTAAAACAAAACAAAACAAAAACTTAGCTTTAGAAATAAATGCCTAGGATAAACATCAATGAACAATAATACCCTGAAATTGGTAGTATCTGTATTTAACCTCCCAATTCCAGTTTTACTGAGGTTCACATACAAACACACGAAGAAACAGAACAGATTAGAGTATGTAAGAAATATCACTTTAAGCAAAAAGACAATTCCATTTCATTTAACTCTTTCACTTATGGTTAAACCTCTGAACGTTAAACCTTAATAAACGCGGAGAGGCTGTGTGAACAGAAAACAATCTCTGGACTCTTATGAGAGCAATTGAAATCTCTGAATAGGAGATAAAAGATGGCATTTAGAACAGGGGAGGTAATGATTGCATTGAGAATGTCTTGATAAAGATTTTCAGAACAGGGGCCATACAGGGAAACTCTGAATATTTAGGGTTATACAGAAAATTATGATTATGAGAAAGGATACTGAATGACTCACGTTTTCATACTACTCATATGTAGGTAATAGATCAAGATATTTTTCTTTGTATTCATTGTATTTGAATCAAATTCATTGATGAAAAACAAGACCATATGAAAAAATAAATTATTTTTCTGAATATATGATTATTATATTTTAAAACAAACAATATTTTAAAATTGGATTAAAATATTCTCTCTTAAGTAGGGTTAAGAGCTTCTCATGAATTTTTGTGTTAAGATTGTATTAATTTTTCAAGTTTTTAGGTAAAACTCTCACATTTTAATAGATTGCCTAATTATAAGTGAGTTTGTTAGGATATAGACATTTCACAGCTCTCATTGTCATACAAATTAGATGATATGCTTGACCAGCAATCCCAAAAGCAGATGAACACTGTGCATTTTGTTTATCTGTTAATTTTGTTATGCCATTGTTTTTCTAAGATATTTCCTGAAGATTTTTTTAAAGATAATTTTTGGAAAGGAACTGTACTACTAAAAGCTGATTTCCCAAGAGGCTTACATAAATTTTCTTGTGATAAAATGTGTTGGTTACTTTTATGTGTAACTTGACTGAGCCATGGGGTACCCAGATATTTAGTCAATGGTCAAACATTATTCTTAGTGTTTCTGTAAAAGCGTTTTGGGATAAGATTAACATTTAAGCTGCTAGACTGTTGAAGAAGCTCACCTTTCATAATGCAGGTGAGCCTCATCTAATCATTTGACAGCCTTAAAAGAACATAAGCATGGCCTTTCCTAGAGTAAGAGAGAATTCTTCCCACCTGAGAGCCTTCATATTGACACTTCAGCAGTTTTGCAATTGGCTGAGGATTGCAGCAAAAGATACTGCACATTTGGTGACAACATGATACACTGGGAGGAGATAGTAGGATGTAGGATAAAATAAAAGTCTTGGGAGATACTGAAAGATGACAAAAATTTAATAAAATAGGCAGATCAATTGAGGTTCAGGAGTTCAAGGCCAGCTTGGTTATCATGGCGAAAACCTGTCTCTATCAAAAATACAAAAAATTAGCCAGGCGCAGTGGTGGGCGCCTGTAGTCCCAGCTACTCAGGAGGCTGAGGCAGGAGAATGGCGTGAACCTAGGAGGCGGAGCTTGCACTGAGCGGAGATCGTGCCACTGCACTCCAGCCTGGGCGACAGAGCGAGACTCCATCTTAAAAAAAAAAACAAAAAACTGGCGGATGTGATGGCTCATGCCTGTAATCTCAGCTACTATGCAGGCTGAGGCAGGAGAATCACTTCAACCTGGAAGGCGGAAGTTGCAGTGAGTGGAAATCTCCCCACTGCACTCCAGCCTAGGTGACAGAGTAAGACTGCATCTTAAAAAAAATATATATATATGTATATATATTTATATATATGTATATATATTTTTATATATATGTATATATATGTATATATGTATATATATTTATATATATGTGTGTATATATATTTATATATGTGTGTATACATTTATATATATGTGTGTATATATATTTATATATATATGAAATTTGAGCTTGAGAGTTTGAACAAATATGTTCGTTACTTTCTTCCAAAAATTGGCTATATTCAATGCATTCGTTTGAGTAGATATTAAAAAGTACAATATTGTCCTTAAAATTATACATACGTGATCACTTTTTTATTTGATTTTGCTTCACTTCATTTCTCAATGCCATTTAAACAAAGAGTATGCCTCCAGCCTTTTGATCATTGCTATTAAGTATAATTTGCAATTTGCAATTCTTTTTTTTTTTTTTTTTTTTTTTTTTTGTGAGACAGAGTGTCACTCTGTTGACCAGTCTGGAGTGCAATGGCACGATCTTAGCTCACCAAAACCTCTGCCGGCTGGATTCAAGTATTCTCCTGCATCAGCCTCCAGAGTAGCTCGGATCACAGGCATGCACCACCATACCTGGCTAATTTTTGTATTTTTAGTAGAGACGGGATTTCGCCATGTTGGCCAGGCTGGTCTTGAACTCCTGACGTCAAGTGATCCACCCACTTAAGCCTGCAATTCTTTAATAAGTAAAAAACACTAAAATTTACTTGTAGTTTATATACTAAATACATCATGCTTTTTTTCACGTTTTTATTTGTTGCGCTTTAATGCATACGCAGTATAAACAGTGTGAATGCTGTTTTAAGCAATTTCTCCCTAAAGATAAAATATTAACACTATCTAAAATCAAATTTAGTTTATTTGGGTAGTTACTGTAATATCCCCACATCTGGTATTGACAAAGGTTAGAAAAACAAATTACATTTCGTATTTTTATGTATATTTTTAAAGTTTTGAAGATTTTTAAGAGAATTTGTGTTTGCATTTTTAAAATTTCCCAATATTAACTCTTTTCCCACTGATAGATCACAAACATCAATGTGTACGTGCTTTCTTTTTCCAAAATTAAATGCCTTTTCTCATTAATAATATTTTTATTCAAAAGCAGGCTTTTGTGGAAATTCTCAGTATCAACAATAGAACAAAATACAAGCGAATTTCATCTGAATAATCATCTTAATGCATCTGATCACATGTGCTATTAAAGATTTTTTTGAAAAATATCTGTGTTTTTATGTTGCCTGAGGTGGATATAAACAAAGAAAAAAAAGTGTTTCATCCTATAAGTACTGTCTCCTCATCCTGTGAAAAATGTCAAAGTAACAGTGTAGTAGATCTATTTGTCTACTTCATTTTCTATAAGAAGTTATTTAAAACAAATTCAAACAATGGTGTGAAAATTTCATGGCAACTTATCATGGTTACTAAGACAGTTTTAATAAAGGGTTCAATGCCTTATTTAAGTGTTGATTTAAATTATAGCTGCATTTCCTTTCAACACAAGTTCGGTTTTCCATACCTGGCTGAAATATCTTCTCTATGACTGATGTTATGAATACTTATTTTCCAACAATTTCTATTATAAAATAATGTCAAGCTTACAGAAAAGTTGTAAGACCAGTAGAAAAAACTCTTATATGCTCTTAATTCAGATTCCCCAATTGTGGACATTTTACATTATTTGCCTTATAAATTTCCTTCTGAATATAAATGTATGCATATTATTGTTGCCTCTGAACAATTGGAGATTAAGTTACAGACATGATGCCCCAATTATCCTTGAATCCTACAGTGAATATTTTTCACACACAAAAAAATGATCTTGTATATGACCAAATTACGACCATCAAAATCAGGATATTGACATTTATACTTAATCTCATTCAAAGACAAATTTAAGTTCTTCCAATAGTCCAATAATTTCCTTTACAGCAAAAAGAACCAACCCAATCGTGCTTTGCATTTAGATGTCATGCCTCCTATGTATCCTTCAATCCCAAACAGCTCATCAGTTTTTCCTTGCCTTTCATGGCACTGGCATTTTTTAAAATTCTTCAGGACTCGTAATTTTGTGGAAAGTTCCACAATATTGGTTTTTTGGGTGTTCCCACATGATGAAATCAGGTTAAGAATTTTGGACAGGAATACAATAGAAGTCATTTTATATTCTCATTGCATCTTATCAGGTGGTGAATGATTTTGATTTTTTCTACCACTGGACATGATAACTTTGATCATTTAAAAGTGATTCAATTTTTTGTTTTTGTTTTTATTTTTAATTTCCATTTTTATTTTTGATTCAGGGCATTTTCTTTCTTTCTTTTTTTTTTTTTTTTTTTTTGAGATGGAGACTCACTCTGTCACCCAGGCTGGAGTGCAATGGCATGATCTCAGCTCATTGCAGCCTCTGCCTCCCGGGTTCAAGCAATTCTCCTGCCTCAGCTCCCCGAGTAGCTGTGATTATGGGTGCACACACCATGCTCAGCTAACTTTTGTATTTTTAGTAGAGACAAGACTTTGCAGGTTGTCCAGGCTGCTCTCGAACTCCTGACCTCAGGTGATCCACTCACCTCGGCCTCCCAAAATGCTGGATTACGGCATGAGCCCGGTTATCTTCAGAGATATTTCTGACAAATTACATCATGCTTGATATATATGAGCTACCATATGTATCAGATAGTGTTAGATTGCTAAAATGGGAAGAGAGTGTTCCTGAAGAGGTGAACTTAAAAAGAACTAGCTCTATCCCTAGCCCTACCAGGTTCTTAGGTTATTTTTGGTGAGAAAATTATGTATAATTATGGCTTTCTTATCTGAAAGAATGACTAAACCAATAATAACAATTCATTGTTCAATAAATGACTCAATCTAACTATGGAATGTAGATTCAAATGTACAAATGCACATTCAAAAATAATTTTCTATAAAGTTACCAGTGGAAATATCAAAGAATGAACACGTCTTTTGCTAATGTAATATACATTTAATAAATGACATTTTACCAAAAAAAAAATAGAGAAGATGTTTGGCTATGAATTGTCGTGCTCACTCTCATACACGTGACTTCATTCTGATTGGTCTTATAATTTGGAAAGTCTTCCATTCCCCACTTCATTTAACTTAACCAAAGCCCCATTTAAGCCCATCTCTACTACAAACACCCCCCTGGTCTTTACATCTTAAAAATAAATAATGCTCTCTGCTTTGGTTTGTTTGACTATCCATATAATTATTATTTATTTATTTATTTATTTATTTATTTATTTATTTATTTTGAGATGGTGTCTCACTCTGTCGCTGGGCTGGAGTGCAGTGGCGCAATCTCTGCTCACTGTAACCTCCAGTTCCCGAGTTCAAGCAATTCTCCTGCCTTAGCCTCCCAAGTAGCTGGGACTACAGGTGCCTGCCACCACGCCCAGCTAATTTTTTTTTTTTGTATTTTTAGTAGAGATGGGGTTTCACCGTGTTAGCCAAGATGGTCTCGATCTCCTGACTTCGTGATCTGCCCGCCTCGGCCCCCCAAAGTTCTGGGATTACAGGCGTGAGCCCGGCCCATACAATTATTTTAACGCTTAATTATGTGCTATTTCAATATCTCTCATACATTTTCTTTTACTGTTATGTAACTCCTAGTCTAACCATGACTTGTCTCTTTAGATTTTTATTTTCTTATGGGCAAAAATTCTGTAAAAATGCTTCATGCACTTTGCAGTGTCTAAAGAAGAGATGAACACACAGTGCCTTCTCAGTAAATATGTATTGGATTTAATTAAATGAAACACTGAAAAGGAGAAAAGTTATGAGAGTGAAGTAGATGTAAAAACAAACAAGATAACTCAAGTAAATCAAGAACACTGTGAAAGTTCGGCTCCAGCCTGGCTTCCTCTCTGAAGCTTTCCCCTGTGGCTCAAGCATTCAGCAATCTTCCTCTTCTATGAACTGCCTTAGTAGACACTGTCGAGCCAACAAAATTGAGCATTGGCTTGTGTTTCTTACACTATTCAAACCTCGTTTTCTTTTTAGTCTACAATTCCTAGCATGAACCTGAAGCAGAATAGAAACAGAGAATGCTGTTTGGTTGGATGATTTATTTACTCCATTGTATGGAAGATTTAGTAATCAATTTCAAAGGGTGAAATGAGTCAAAGAAAATTCTCATATTAATTCTATTTATAAAAATGCTGTAAAGTATGGTATTCAGTGATAAACTTGAGGGGAAAATCCTAGAAAGTACAAAGAGACTCTAGAATGGGAGTTAAGCGAGAGATATTTGGATCCAAGTTATCTGGGTTTCTATTCCACCTCTATAAATTTGAAAATTCTGCTTAACATCCCCGTGGCTCAGTACTTTTAGACAAAATATGTTGATATATTAGTGTGTATCCTAAGGGTTGTTGTGAGGATAAAATGAATTATTATGTACCATCATGTACAGGTTTTCTCTATGTTGCCACAGTTGGCATAAGTAATTCTCGTGGGAGGCTGTGCTGTACATCGTGCAATGTGTAACAGCATCCCTGCCCCTACCCACTAGATGTCAGTAGCATTACCATTTTCAGCGTGACAATGACAAATGTTTCCAGACATTGCCAAAAGTTTCCTGAAGGCAAAATCACCCCTACTTGACAATGACTGGTCTAGACCTTACAATGTATTATGGAAAAAAGCAAAACTCATGTATTAGACATTAATACTAATTTAAGACCTGAACATTGGAAATTCTATAATGTGAAGTTCAGTTTGTAGCATATAATCTCATAATAAGGAATGGATTTTTTCTTTTTAGTAGGAAAGCGGTGCTTTACGTTTACAGCTATGACTCTCTTCTTGCTTGGGTTAAAAATCTTCATGACAATACTCCATGTATAATTGAGTATGATATAAATCCATAACTACTCTTTCTTCTTTGCTTTCTATTTGGTAAGATTTGATATTAAAAATTCAGATAACTCTTCTGAAAAAGAGAAAAAACTAAGTTTAAAGCAGAGGCCTGTCCAAACACAAGGAGGGTCAAAGATCTTATCCAATACCCTTCTCTCCTTTTGATCCCACAAGGCATGCAGAGAAACAGTTAGTACTTTATGAAGAACAAGGACTATTCTTTACATGCGTTTTGTTTGTCAGCCCTCTGCCACATAACATTTTCTAATTCTGTCTTCATTGTCTCTAATGTATTATCTCCCCAATTAATAAATTATTATTAAATAATAAATTGAAATTATGTATAAATCATTTTAACAAATGAAGTAATCAAAATATTTTATATAATTCCATATTTTTAGAAGTAATTTTCCTACTAAATGGTAAAATTTGCCTTTTCCACTATGAGCACTGAATATTTTTACTACTTAAAAATTAATGCATTTTTTCTCATGGCCAGTGATGATGAGCATTTTTTCATATGTCTGTTGGCTGCATAAATGTCTTCTTTTGAGAAGTGTCTGTTCATATCCTTTGCCCATTTTTTGATGGGGTTGTTTGTTTTTTTCTAGTAAATTTTTTAAATATCTTTTTAGATTCCAGATATTAGCCCTTTGTCAGATGGATAGATTGCAAAAATTTTCTCCCATTCTGTAGGTTGCCTGTTCACTGTGATGATAGTTTCTTTTGCTGTTCAGAAGCTCTTTAGTTTAATTAGATCCAATTTGTCAATTTTGGCTTTTGTTGCCATTGCTTTTGGTGCTTTAGACATGAAGTCTTTGCCCATGCAATGTCCTGAATGGTATTGCCCATTTTCTTTTTTTGTTTTCCAGGGGATAAAATGTCTTCCTTAGAAACAAAGTGTGTGGTTCAAGTCTCAACATATATCTTCAGTTCCTAGCCAAGTAAATGATATTCAATAAATTCTATAAATGCTGACTGATTGAATGAATGATTAAATCTTTATATTAACTTCCATATTTATCTGTCTTTTGAAGTCATTGCACTTTAGCTCTCTTTTTTTGTGTGTTTTTGACTTTGAAGTTCCGGGATACATATGCAGAATGTGCAGGTTTGTTACATAGGTATACCTGTGCCATGGTGGCTTGCTGCACTCTAGTTCATTTTTAAGCTAAACATATGCAAGACATGGTTCACACTGATTTCTTATCTTAGATATTATGTATATGATCTATATAACTCATTTTAACTATATGTGATCTATATATGATCTATATGACTCATTTTAACTAGGATTTTCCAAGCTCTTTGCCAGAAGCTTGAGTGACATAGGTAAGCAAAACAGATGTTACCCTAACCATTTTTAGTTTACCATCTAATGTTTGTAAAATAGACTCTATTTGGATAATAAAACATTATTCTATTTTCATGAATTTTTATACTTATCAAGTTTAACAATATCATTTAATTTTCAAATGCATTTCATTTCCTCCTTATTTCTCTCTTTAGTTCAATACCATGATATAAAAATTTGTCTAATGATTATAATAAACCAGAACAATTTCAGATTCTTAATTATCAGATTAAACAAATATGCTTAGTGTTTTTATATTCCGTATGCTTGATTTATTTATCACTTTCTTGGCAAACTTAAAAAAAAAGGACAAGAGAGAAAAAACTGGGGTAAGAGAGAAAAGCTTGAAAAATAAATATTAATTCAGAGTTCAGGGAGGCCTGAGACCAGCAACACAGTGACTAAGATTTTAGTATTACAACAATGTAAATATTAGACTTCTAATAAAATGCTTAACCTTTATGCTTTTAACTAAAGATAACTGTGGATAGAGGGAGTGTTTGAAGAGTATATACGGAATGAAGTTCAAAGCTTCATCAGTAACAGCAAATAAAACAATAATCTCCAAGTATAATGAAGATTATTCTTCAGAGATATCATAAATTCATCATCTTAAAAAGATTTATTTTAAAAAAAAATTATGGATGAGCTTTTAAACAAGAATAGACATGTAAATTGACAACATTTCCAATGCTGCCAGCAATTCTTTTAAAGAGGTAAAGCCTAAATATTCTATTCAATTTTACCATGTGTAAAGATGATCAGAAAATCTATTCTAATTCTCTTTTCAATACATTGAGCCAAAAAACCTAGAAAAATAATTGTATATACATTCAAAATATATAGCAAACACCTACGCACTAATTAATAGAAACATGTTTTCAATATATACATACATATATATGGATATCTGTACATATGTATTTATAATGCACATATATATGTATCTATAATGCACATATATATGTACACACACAAATGAAGACAGTTTTATTGAATTAGCACTTAATCTATGAGCAACTACAGGAAAAGACTAATGTTCTTTAAAATCCCTAAAATTTCTTCATGAGGAAATTTCAGAGAACAGTATGTGTTTATAAATTTTCCTGTTAAACATCACATGGCAGAGGCTTTAAATTTTAGTGGTTTTATTTCTTTATAAAGAGTTCTAGCCAA
Source organism: Homo sapiens (assembly GCF_000001405.40). Classification (NCBI taxonomy): domain Eukaryota; kingdom Metazoa; phylum Chordata; class Mammalia; order Primates; family Hominidae; genus Homo; species Homo sapiens. The sequence goes on along the minus strand of NC_000003.12, from coordinate 85,340,243 downwards.
ATCAATTTCGTTAATGAAAATTCAATATTTCCTAAGCTATATTCATAGAGTTATAGGAAATGCTTTTTTAAGTATGCAATGCTAAGGTGTACTTTTTCAGATTATTTTTAACCTATGATTCAAATTAATATCTCTACTGATTCTTTGGTAGAAAAATATTCACATGCTTTTCATATATTCAGTTATTTTTACTTCTCCATAGAAAAATAAGAAAATATATTGTATTTTCCTAGTAACAAGCACTGAATAGCATGTCTTTTTTCCTTAATAGTGACACTTATTAATCTTACATCTCATGGGTATATTTTAGATTATAATATTAAAATGATTTAAAATATTAAGATAAATCTTAGAAATTAAAGAGTTTGCAAAGATGTTTTGTCTATTGCACAAATACTTAGTGATCATCTAAGAATCACTGGTTATACAGCTTTCAGTATATTTTTTCTTTACCATTTCTGCTTTAGAAAAATGGGACCCAGAATTTCCATCATAGAAATAATTATCCTAAACATTTGGTAATCTTGACTTTCAGTTAATTTCCTAGTAGCAGTTAGCATGGCCTACAGATACCAAGTCAATAAAGGTATTTTGGAAACTCAGTCATTCCCACAAAATTAACCAAGTGACTTGGGAGAATGCCTATAGGTTAATGCCTGTGATACCTGAAGAAAAGATGAGAAAAATAGAAAGAAAAAAAAGGAGAAAAAAAAGATGAAAGGAAGGGCACAGAAAAATTATGATCTAATTGTTCACATAAAGTTTATTTCTTTGGGAGACCAAGAGAAACCATTATTGAGGAATGATTCTATAAACTAGAGAAAGTAAAAAAAGAGACACATTTCCATTTTAATTAATATGTGTTATATGATATTACACTTGTTCTTTCAGAGTTATATTCTTTCAGTACTTTGTGCTTTAACATATAGCTTGTCTTTTGCTGGGTTCTTAGTGATACTTTTATTATTTAAACACACTGAGATAATTTACCTGCAGTACTTTTTAAAAATTCAAATATTAATGCCTGACTTCTGGTGCATATTTACTATGTGCCAGAAATAATGAAAAATACTTTTCACCTATTTTTAAAATGGGTTTATTATCACTATTTTACAAATCAAAGAACCAAGGCTCAGAGAATTAGAGTTAAATACTTTGCACAGTCTTGTCACCATATCATAAAATTTACCTATCAGACTTAAACTTTTCAGAGTAGGGCAAAATAATTTTAAATTATCTCAATATGGAAAATTATGCATGGTCTCAATCTAGTTTTATTAAGTGGAAACAAGTCTTTAGAATACATTATTTAAAACTTAAACATCCACTTTTGCTAACTTTCTGGTTCAGGAGATCTAGGCATAAGAAAAAAAGTGTGATCTATATCTAAGTAGATGCCTTTATACTACTGTAACTAAAATTTTATTGGGATTCCTGTATAATCTAGAGCCAAAATTTGGTGACTTTTATTGTCATGGTTATTGTTCTTTGCAGTTACCTGTTGTTCGGTGAAAAGAACATAGACCTTAGGAATCAGAAAAACCAGTTTTTGTTCAAATTTTGTCACTTCTTAGCCATGACTTTGGGAAATAATCTATATGAAGATGTAAGAAATTAACAATTATCAAAAAGCTTCTGTATAAGAAAAATACTCCCTACCTCACAGGGTTTTTACTGACTTCAAGAAAATATTCTATCAAAAACCTATTGCAATATTATATGCACTATAATTTGCTATAATGATGGTGATAATGGTAATTATTTTTATTACTATATTACTGGCTTCTCGGGGCTATTGCACAGATTACTTACTATGAAGATTGTGTCCCACTAACATAGTGGTTAAAAACAAACAAACAAAAACTCTGTACTCTTAGAAATCCATCTAGACAAAGGTGGATTGGATTAACCAGTTATTAAAAGTATTTTCACTAAACAGATGAAAATTGACATGTATCTAATAAATTTTTTTGTGTGTATTGAGCACTAGACTCTGCCTGTGATATGGGACACACAAGTTTAATGCGGAAAAGGCTTATATGTAACCAGCTGATAAGGCTTGCTGTTCCTGGAGGCACACACATCTTCTATGCAAGTCACTCTTCTACTATACTCAAGCAATTAATTCAGTCTGATAAGGAATGTTAATATCACTTTAGAGTAAACAGGCATCTGTTAATAGATCTTTCCAGATATTTGGCATAGGCAGAGGCGCTGATGGAGGCAATGATGCTTAAGGCAGTATTTTGAATGACTGTAACAAAATGCAATATGTTTCAAACACTGTAAATGTATCCCTACAGTATACAGTCTGGATACTAATATGGAAATCATTCTAAGAGATTAAAATATATGAGAGTATATGAATGTCATAACACTATTTATAAATAGAACCTATAAGACAAAGAAATCTTGATAGGAGGAAAATTGTGAAGAAGGAGAAAATGAAAATTTTATAGTAAACAAATACTCATTTAGCATGCCGGTCTGCATACCCAAAATCCAGGCTTAGTTTTGGGGTGTTTATAGATTTTGTAGAAAAAAGAGCAAAAATACTTAGATCTTATCCCATTAGCCTCATTTACACTGAGGCTAGACTCTCAAAGTGGTGAATAGTATTTAGAATGAGAGCTTGATTCAGTTTACTTGCTAAGTCCCAATGAAAGAATACAGCAGGTTCAGTTGCGAGCAGAAATCCTATGATAAATGGTTATTTGAAAGCCAGAAAGGGTAACTAAGTTATGCCCTTCAGTCTGTAGGCCATTTATTTTTGTCCCAATTACACACAATATAAAGAAATATTTGTTTCCATGTTTTTCTATACCACCAGTTTACAATGATACATATGACTTGGCTCACAAAGCTGTTCCTTGAGACAGTTAATATATTTAGAGAAATACGAGAAAGTATAAATTGTCTTTCTTTTTGCCCCTCATTAAAATTCTATTTAAATTATATCATTTGCACTGTGCTACACATCAGAATTTAGACAAATCATCACACTAAAATAGGAATGTTTGGTTCAGTTGGAGTTTAAAGATGCTGCAATTTAACATTTTTTAGAGGTGTTGTGGGAGAAGGAGCTTTAAAAGCAATTATTATTGGCCAGCATAAGGTTGGGGATGAGATGGCAGATGGAAGGCCAAAATATTGTTTTCCCTTAAATGGTCAACTTTGATAATGAAATATATATATATATTTATATATATATATTTATATTTATTTATATATATTATATTTAATATATATTAAATATATATATATTAAATATATATTTAATATATATATTAAATATATATATATTTAGTTCATTTTAACTATTTAACTATTAACTTTGTTAATAAGCTATATATATATAATTCATATATATATAAATTTATTTAGCAACTACCCCTCTTGGTATGTTCTTGATATTTTTATCAGCTTTAAGAAAAATTAAATCTTTAAAATGGAAAGAAATGATTGAGAACTCTAAATGTTTCATATACGAAATTTTTATTTTTAACTCTCAGAAGGAAAAACATGAAAAATTTTATATTGACCACTTAGTAACATAAAATTCTGCCTTCTCATAATATTTACTTGCTGAACAAAACATTACTGGTATTAGTTGCTTAATATAACAATTTCTAGTTGACTATTAGTCCAAATTGATAGTTGACAATATAAATCTTACATTTCACAGAAATATAGTTTTCTTTAGCTTTGTTATTATAATTTTGAATCACCCTTTATGAAAAACTGAAAAAAGAAAACATTCGCTATCAATTTGCCATTGAGCTTTACGTAAACAATTTGATTTTATGGTCTGAAATATAAATTATTACACAAATAACTTCTCTTATTCTTGTTGATTTTAAAATTGCTAATTATAATTTAACTGGCCTATAACAAATAAAATTATTGCAACCTATTATTAAAGCTTTTGTTCATATCCACAAGAAAAGCTGCTTTTATTTTAGCTAAATTCAGAAAAATATCAAGAGATGGGATTGAAAGGTAGGTTGAAGCAAATTTCTAAAAAACATGGGGTTCCACTTGGCAATGAGGAGATTCTCAAAGCTATAAGGCAGGGCAGTAACAATAGTGCAGAAGGAAATGTTGATGGCCTAAAGTAAAAGCAATGACGTCAAAGATAAGAGCTTATAAAATAATGTTTAGAAAATGGAACCTATGAAATTGGGTACCAGATATATTTTGGGCAGGGGGTTCACAGGACCAATATGTTCACGGTTTCTTTCAGTTTAGAGGATGAGTGCATATCGACCTTACTCAAAAAGTAATGAATACAATCAGAGAGAACAGGCTGTCTTTGTATGGTTTTATTACTGTTTGCTTATTTTTGCTTTACTTTGCACTGCCTAGGGAAACAGAAAGTAATGAATTCTGCATGGACAAATAGACTTGGAGACATCCATACTGCCTCCAAAGACATGTACCAGATAGTTGGGTAAATTAGTAAACCATTCAAGAATTACATCTTGGCAGAAATTATAGATTATGGCAGACATATGAATAGACAATCATCTCACAGAAGAAGCTGATTATTAAATACAAATAGAAAGGCAGAAGCTATAAACTTTGTTATATCATTTTCAAACACTGAGTTAGAGAAAAACCAATAACATATTGTATATTTCAATATAGCTAGAAGGGAGGATTTTGAATGTCCTCAACAAAAAAAAAAGTGATAAATATCTGAGATGATGAATATGCTAATAATTCCAATTTGTTCATTACACATTGTACATGTGTATTGACACATAACACTGTACACCATAAATATGTACAATTATTAAGTGTCAATTAAACATAAATACAAAAAAGAAGAATCTGACCCTTGACAAGAAGAGAATAGAGAGGTCTGGTTAGTATCAAGGAAGAAGAAGAGTTAAAATCAAATAAAGTGTTTATTGGAGCCAAGTGCAAAATGCTACCCCGATATAAAGTAGCAGGCCACTGATTTTAGAAATTAGTAGGTGACTGATGTTTTATGATCACTTTCATTTTTGTCTATTCTGGTGAGGAATGGAAGCTAGGTTACAGAAGGTTGAGACATCAATAGAAAATGAATGTATCAAAATAAGTTAGAAATTATAAAATATTTTGTTTTTTTGAGAGGACAATTTGTTCTCATGAAGACCGAACATGTTTGTAGCATTTTATTTATTTACTTAGTATCTTTTTTTTTAGTATATCTTCACAACCTAGAAATATTTTAATATGACTGTTTTTCTTCTATTTTGAGCTAGTTTACTTTCCTGTCACCTTGTAACTTCATAGCCCTATTTTTATTACATTTTGAAAATACAAGTTACTAAATTATAATGAGAATCTATTTTGGGGGTCTAGTTTCATATTATTTTTTTCACTCTCAATATAAAAACTACATAATGATTGAGAAACTACAGCCTCTAATAGCTTCTTCATGCTTTATTTTTAATTTAGCCTCAATATTTAAGAAGAAACTAAGTCAGTAATCAAAATTCAAGAAAAATGAAATATTATAAGTTTGAACAGTTAGAGAATCCAAGATTTAGAACCTTCTTAAGGCATTTTTGTTAACATTTGAAAAGGTTTTTGTAATCTTCTTTAACAGATCACAAAATTTAGCTAAGTTTTAGGCAAATTTTGCTGAGGAATCCAAGTAAAATAATTGCTTAAGGTCAAGTTGATTACCCATTAATATATGTGTATACTATCAGTCATTGTTGAACATTGATTAATCATCATCATAAAATTAAGTTGACCAGAGGCACTATTACACTCTGATACAAATATTTTGTTGAAATAATTCTTATTGTGCCTTTCCCCTGAGCTGGCGACGGCTGTCTTAAAACTATCCTGCAGTAAATATCTGACACTGAAGTCAACTTAAATTATTCTGAAGTCCATATGTCATTTTTTAGATGTAAGCCTGAGACATCATTAGCACTAATGATGTGAGGCTGCTTTTTGTTGATACCTATTGCTATTTAATGACCCAACTACCTGAGGCAGTTTTGATAACTTGAGAAAATGATAGAAAATCATCCAGCATTTGCTCCAGGAGAGATTTGATTACAAGTTGTTGACTAAGCAAGCCTACATAAAAGGTTTTCTGCTATAGTAGCAGAAAAGATGAAAAACTCAGGTCTTCAAATTATTTTTATTTGCTTCAGATGCAAATATTTGACATTAATTCAGTAATAGTTAATATACACTTATTTCATTTCATTTATATTTAAGGGAAATAAAGGTCAAATTTTATTGCTTAGATTTTGTTTTATTAAAAAACATTATTTTACTCATATACTTCCAAGGAAGTGAATTGTACACGGTAAGATTTTCTGGCTAAGAAAGTGAATAAAGTTTGGCCAGAATTACATGGAGTCCCTCAATATAACAACAGGAAAATTGGTATTTGTCACACATTACTATCTCTTCTCAACTTACTTCGAAATATAATAGCCTTTTATGCATTAATGATAAGCCTCTATAATATGGTTTCCTTAATGAGATGTATTGACCCAATCATCCGCTTGAATTTGAGCTTCTAATCTGGGTCTCCAATGTTGGAAGGCCATGTGAAAACTATTTTAAATAGCAATTGCAAAACTGCAGCAAGAGCAGAAAAACACGTTTCTTTAATAACAAAAATTATTTAAAATGATTAACCTAATTAACATTTTCACCTGGTCTTCATTTAATGTGCAAACAGGCAGTTGATGACAATAATTACTCAACCACAAACTAAGTGGTCAGTTAGATACACAATTACCCAATTTGCATGCACAGAAGTGAATTTTATCACTAAAAAGTTGTTTCTAAGCATTTACATATAATATAGACATAAAATTTAACTTGTAATCAAATTATGTAAACTTTACTTATCTAACATTTTTTTTCTAAAATGCTTACCTGAAGGTATTCTATCACCCTCATTATTTACATGGCTCGCTAATATTAAAAACAAGATGTAGATTTTTTAGTAATTAAGATTATTACTTTTATATGTATCACTATTACAACATATCATAATCATTCTATTCATTCATACAGTTATCCATTCATTCTTTTATAATTAACACTTTAAACACTGAGTTCTTTCTACTGTAAGACACTATTCTGTGTACAATGCAAAGATTAAATCCCACAGGAGCATTATATTTAATATCAAGGGTGGAATATAAATGTCTAACGAGACAATGAAAAGTGCTAAAAGCCAAAATAACATCAAAGTTAAAGTTTACAAATAACTTATTGTACACGAAGCAAAACTTATTTTAAAAAGAATTAAAAATGTTGAATGTGTATGGTGGGACCATGAGAATAATCTATTATTAATTCATCCTGTAATTCATACATATTTATCAACAAACTACTGTGTAGCACCATTTTCTTAAGCAATGGGAATAAAAAAAAGCCTTGTTCACAGATTTTTGAGTCAAATCTTCAATCTACTTGCAAACTAGCAGTAGATCTTTTATCTGCCTTTGCTTGACTAGTTAATTTGATTTTTCACAACTTGTATAACACAGAAAACTTAAAATGTATGGAATTTAGCTTAGAAGGACTCCAGAGGACATATTTTACATGGAATTTTAGATATTTTGGAAGTGGATTATTCACTTAAATATATGTATATTTCATTTTTACATAATACAAAAGTGAAAATATAACTAAGTCCAACAACTGACCTAAAATTATAAACTCAGATTGCATCCTAAGTGAATTTCAGTAATTCTCTCCCATATTATTTCATTACAAAGGTCAAACCTACAAAGCCCCCAGGAAGGAATCTGTGCCATCACTATTTTTCAAGGATCCCTCTGTGTCAGCCTACACACAGGTTTTCTTTTAATAAGCTCTGATCTCCCTAATATATTCCTCTAATGCATTATATTTTTAAATTGGGATATTTAATTTTCCCTACATTAAAGACTTAAGCTCATTAGACAACACAAAATATTTATTCTCATTTGGAAATTTGGAGCCTGTATTTCTCAGGATCCAACAGTAAAAATTCAGCTTGCATCTAATATTCCACTATTGACTAGTTTTATATCTGTTATTATTTTCTGAGAAAGCAGTCACAAATGTTTAGGACTTTGATCCCTTCTCAGCCGTTGTCTCAACAAACAGAAATTAGCTATAGGTTTATATTGTGACTGATGTGAGGATATTTATTTTCAATTGATCCCTTAATAATTTTTACTATGGCTTGGGTAGGGTCATATAGTAGGTACTCATTGAAATTTATAAGAAACTGTCAAAGGTGTTGACCTTTTGTACTGCTCTCCTCCACTGCTAAAGGATTTATTTATGTGCAAATGATACTGTAGTACTGTTAAAAATTAAAATAAAAATTGTAATGATAACTGGGTTTTATACACTGGGACAATTCTTCAGACAGTATTTCCAGAAAGAAGAATCACTCACTCCAGTTAAAATGGCTCTTATCCAAAAGACAGGCCGTAATGAATGCTGGTGAGGATGTGGAGAAAGGGGAACCCTCATACATTCTTAGTGGGAATGTAAATTATCACAGCCATTATGGAGAACAGTATGGAGGTTCCTCAAATAATATAATAGGTCTACCATGTCATACAGCAATCTCAATGTTGGGTCTGTACCCAAAAGGATGAAAATCAGTATACTGAATATTCTTATAAGTAAAACTCTTATTCTCAAATACTTATTATTTTTCTCTCAAAAAGGCCAATCTAAAAGTGACTATTGTCACTTTTAGTGACAATAGTCACTTTTAGATTTTCATGTGTTGTCACAAAATAGAGTCATGAGAAAACCAACACACTATAAATGCTTTCATTTTAGAATTACTAGTTGTAAAATATGGCTAATAAGTCAGGAACAGAAAAACAAATATCACATGTTCTCATTAATATGTGGGAGCTAAAAAAAATGAATAAATTGAGATAGAGAGTAGAATGGTGGTTACCAGAGGCTGGGAAGGGTAGTGGGAGTTAGGAATAAAGAAAGAATGGTTAACGTTTACAAAAATACAGTTAGACAGAAAGAATAAGATCTAGTGTTTGATAGCACAGTAGGGCAACTATGGTAAAGAAAATTTTATGGCATATTTTAAAACAATGAAGAGTAGAATTGGAATGAAGCTAACATAAACGAAAAATGTTTGATATGATGGATACCCTAAATTACCCTGATTTGATCATTACAAATTTTATGCATATTTCAAAACATTGCATGTACCCCATAAATATGCACAGCTATTATATATCCATAAACGTTCTAAATAAAAAAGTGATTGTTATTATTTTTGAGACAGGGTCTGACTCTGTCATGTAGAATGAAGTGCAATAGTGTTATTACGGCTCACTGCAGCCTCAAACTCACAGGCTCAAACAATCTTCCCACCTCAGCCTCCTGAGTAGCTGAAACCACAGGCACACACACCACCGTGCCGAGCTATTTTTTTTTTTTTTTTTTGGAGAGATGGAGTCTCCCTATGTTGCTCAGGCTGCACTTACTGCCCTGGCCTCAAGCCACACTCTTGCCTCAGCCTCCCAAAGTGATGGAATTATAGGCATGAGCCACTGCCCCTGGCCTAAACATTTTTTTTGAAGTGTTTTTAAACAGTTAATAAGTTAGGGTGGATTTATAAAGACATTGCCTATGAAAAATTCAGATAAATTTTTCTATTTTCTGTCTCAATTCATTTTATTCATGTTAGAAAATGCACTGGGCAGTGTAGAAAGGAATAAAGAAAAAAGTAAAATGTCTATGTAGCAGTGGTGTCAGTGTTGTTGGAGCATTGCAATAAAAATTTAAACTGTATCTGCCCTTTCAAGTACTTTTAAAACATTTTAAAATTTAAAACATACAAGAGTTTAAACAAGATTTCACAACGGAAACATACTAACAATAGAAAAAAAGTGTGATATTAATGGTAGAGGTGATAAGTGCTATGAGAGTTCAAAAGAGAACAAGCGACTCATCCAGTTCAACATTTCTATTGTGTAATTGAGAAAAAATAGACACATGAAGGTTAGGTGATGTTTCCAAGTTCACACTGCTGGTTAATGGCCCAAATATTCCTAGGTGATGAGGAGACTCTTGTGACTCTAGGCATCATGAAAATTTCCAGTGATTCTTTGAAAATGTAGGATTTCTTTTATGTGAACCTGAAATAGAACTTCACTAGGAATGGCTTTATTTCTACCACGTCTTAAAATAACTACATTATCCTCAAGATGAATTTAATCAGAAAAATTGAGAAATGAGTTATCTCCTAAACAGCAGCCAATAAAATTGATTTTCATGTTTTTAAGGATTAAGGAGACATGGTACTTGCTACTAATCAGGAAAACTAAAACTCTTATTCTCAAATGCTTCTTATTTTTCTTTCAAAAAGGCCAATCTAAAAGTGACTGTCACTTTTAGATTGTCATGTGTTGTCTCAAAAAAATAGTCATGAGAGGAACAATAAATTTTAAATGTTTTCATTGTAAAATTACTAGTTGTAAAATATATGGAAACATATGTTATATATGTTTAAAATAACGAATTATACTTCAGCATATCATATTACCATATATAAATACATACTTACTTTATACACACACATAATTTGGTAATTTTAGGATAATAAATATGATGTGTATTTGTTTTTTTGTTTGTTTTTGGTTTTGTTTTCTGAGACAGAGTCTTGTTCTGTCGCCCAGGCTGGAGTGCAGTGGTGCAATCTCGGCTCCGTGCAATCTCGGCTCACTGCAACCTCCGCCCCCTGGGTTCAAGCAATTCTTCTGCCTCAGCCTCTCAAGTAGCTGGGATTACAGGTGTGCACCACCATGCCCGGCTAATTGTGTGTGTGTGTGTGTGTGTGTGTGTCTGTGTGTGTGTATGTGTTTAGTAGAGCCTGGGTTTTACCATGTTGGCCAGGCTGGTCTCAAACTCCTGACTTCGTGATCTTCCTCCCTCGGCCTCCGAAAGTGCTGGGATTACAGGCTTAAGCCACCATGCCCGTCCTGTGTTATTTGTTTTTTAGGGCTGCTTCCAAAAAGTAGGACAAACTGAGTGGCTTAAAGAACAGAAATGTATTTAAATTAGGATTGGTTTCTTCTGAAAGCTGTATCTCTTCCCTTAGCTTGTAGATGGTCATCTTCTCCCTGTGTTTCTTCATACAGTTATCTCCCTATACATTTATTTTTCTGTGTCCAAATTGTAACATTTTATAATGACACCAGTCATACTGGATGAGGGCTAATCCTCTTAACCTCTATTTAACTTTACTACCTTTATAAAGAGCCTATATTCAAATAAGATCACATTCTGAGGGTAATGGGTTTCAGGTCTCCAACATAACTTTTTTTTTTTTTTTTTGAGGGAAGACATGATTTAACCTATAAAATGAGGTTATGTTTATATAAAATTATAGAATATAAGAATATTTTGTACCAGTTTAGATATAAGACTAAATCAAATGATGTCTATGTATCCACACAAGTCTCCTGAAGAGGCTGTCTCTAGACTTAGTATTTTCAAGGTGCAGTCTATCTATGAAACATTTTAATCATTGATTTAGATGTTCAAGGATCAAATTTCACTTGGTGATTTGAGCTTGCAACATCCAAAATTTAAACCTTTCTCTTTTAGAGTCTTTGACTCTTGAGGAAATCTTTGTATTAAAAGTTGATTGATTTGGAAGAGAAAACTCTGTCATAATTTGGCCATCCTGCTTTATCCAGCGCAAATTGGAAACATGGAAATAGCCCAAAAGTTGTCATTGGCTGTCCTGTGGGCTTCAGAGCATTCCAATTAGCATCAGAAAATCCAGCAAAGATGAAGCATGTTGGCAGATGAAATTGGAAATTTAAAATTTAATTCCAGTTTATATGAGCAAAGATTTATGTATTTAAATGAAATTAGAGTTATAGTGACAAATTTTAATACATTTCCTGTAAAATACAATTTGAAGCCATGTATATGTCATAAGCCTATTTATTGTTTAAAAGCTCTTAAGGTTGTTTGTTTGCTTCATGGTCACAACAGTTTTGACCTACAAGATATACAGAGCCTGTTAGACAGGAATTCATATTAAACACTAAGGGTTTCAAAAGCTTAACAAATCACAAGAGACAAGTTACTTGTTACTAGAGAACCACAGAATAGGACTAAGTCATATTTTCACAATTTTAAATAATTGGCTAAAATGACAACTAGAAGACAATTTCTCTCTTCAGGGATAAGGAAAGAAGTATTTCGACTGAAAACAATAATCACAGTGATTCATCTACCAAGCTTCAAAGACATTTCTGTGTAACTTAATATTATGTTTAAGGTTTAGCTGTTTAAGTAAATTGATAGTATGAGGGATCAGAAGGGCCTGGGTTAGTGGCTAAATTAGCAGTCATGAGGCTTCAAATTGTTACGTTTTGAAATAGCTTTTAACTATTCAGAATAGAATTTTAATTCACAATTACAAGAAGCAGTATGAATTACAGAAAAATAAGGCCAAACAAAATCTGTAAATAAAATTAAGACTTGCAATATATTGTCAACAGAAAAGAATAGTTATAATGAAATAAAATACCTAGTGATTGGCACTGTATTTAAATTTAGCCTATAGGGTAACTTCATATATACATATATATTTATATAAATACACATATAGTTTATGTGTGTGTGTGTGTGGTGTGTGTGTGTGTGTGTGTGTGTGTGTGTGTGTGGCCGGGCATGGTGGCTCATGCCTATAATCCCAACACTTTGGGAGGCTGAGGTAGGTCAATCACCAGAGGTCAGGAGTTTGATTACAGCCTGGCCAACATAGCAAAACTCCATCTCTACTAAAAATACAAAAATTAGCCTGGCATGGTGGTGTGCACCTGTAATCCCAGTTACTCAGGAGGCTGAGGCATGAGAATTACTTGAACTCGGGAGGTGGAGGTTGCAGTGAGCTGGGATTGTGACACTGCACTCCAGCCTGGGCAACACTGAGAATCTGTCTCTAAATAAATAAATAATAAATATGAATGAATAAATAAATGTGTGTGTTTAACATATTTATATAGATAAAGAGAGAGACATCAATGATTCTCCCTTTGTATTTTAGAAGCCTTAGATCTTAGAATTGTAGGATAGAATTCTCAGCCATGTCAGTGTAATTCCTGTCAACCCACACCAACCCATTTAATTTTAGTTAAAAAGGCAAAACAAATAAAAAGGAAAGAAAAAAAGAAAAAAAAAGACACATTAAGATTCTGTGACCTAAATTACAAACAAAATGGTAGAATAAGAGACATTTCAATGTTAATTCTATTTTATTTAAAAAAAAAATTGATCTAATCTTTCTCTGAAAAACTTTTAGTCATTAATTATTCTATACTTTTACTTTCTGTTGCAACTGTATTTAAACTACTAAAAGCTATAAAATAGTGTAATTACTGCCACCACCTACCCACCATATAATTATATTTAAGCCATAGTAAAAATCCAATATTTTCAGTGTTTAAGTTTCCCAGGAACAAAGCATGTGGACATGAATAGATTGTAGGCCATGTGCAGGGTGGGGGTTCATGCCTGGGTAGGCAGTAAGCATTTCCATTAGACTTTTACAATTGAAAATGGCTTTCAACATCTTCGTCAAATTAGCCATATATAATTTTTTGTGAAAAATCATTTCAAAATTGATTATAGTAAATTTATTTTTCATTTCTGATACTATTATCAATAATATAATATTGAACATTTTGAAAAAATACATACGTTTATAGATTTAATCTATACTGTGTTAATGGAAAAAAATAGTGTTATTTGAAATATACTTTATCATATTTCCTAAGAGAAATATTAATATAAAAAAGGTACACTTTTATGAAAGACTATTCAACTCAGTCAACACTTTTATGAATACCTGCTGTTTTCTGACCAATATAAGCATTCTTAAGTAAAAACAGATGTAGAATTACCATTTTCTTGTCATCAATTTTTTTTTCAATTCCTGAAATCATTATATTTCACTAGAAAAACAATACAGGCTGTAGAATCACTTAAATATACACAAAACACTTGAAATGAAGACTGTTTACTTAGGCCTTAAAACTTCTCTGAAAATCTCTTTCAGTCTCTGAGAAATATTTGCCATGTTCTTTTAGCTTTAAATCACAGGTTATTTAAAGAGAAAGAGGGAATTTAGGGAGGCAGAGTATGTTAAAAGAGGACATCGTGTATCATTCCTACTTACACTTTGGTTGATTCCATAATAAACATTTATGTTTCAAACATGAGGTCTAAGTTTTCATAAATCATTTTCCAACATGTTTAAATATAGATTCAAAATATAATTCATTTATTTGTTTCTGAGAAGATGTAAGTCGCTTGAGGAGAGTCCCTGTTTCTTTTATATAAGAATTTTACTCATTTTCTGGAACAATCCCTGGATCATGATGGCACTAAATACATATTTGTTAAATGGGGAAATTTGAAAGGAATAGCAGAAATAGATTTTTTTAAATCATGGCTCCTGATAAAAAATTAAATGATAATCTTCTCAAGATAGACATCCACTATTCACACTTTTTTTTTTTTTTTTTTTTGATGGAGTCTTGCTCCTGTGGCCCAGGTTGGAGTGCAATGGCACAATCTCAACTCACTGCAACCTCCGCCTCCCAGGTTCAAGTGATTCTCCTGCCTCAGCCTCGCCAGTAGCTGGGCGCCTGGCTAATTTTTGTATTTTTAGCAGAAACGGGGTTTCGCCATGTTGGCCATCCTGGTCTCAGACGCTTGACCTCATGATCCGCCTGCCTCGGCCTCCCAAAGTGCTGGGATTATAGGCGTGAGCCACCACACCCAGCTGACTTCATACTTTAGAAAAGTAATTAACTGATATTCAAAAGCCACAAATGTGAGGATGAGAAGAAATTAAATTTTACTCAAGATATCTCAACAAATAGAAAGAAAGAAACTAATTTCCACTGAATATGTATTACATGTCAGGAGTAATGTTTGACACTATCAAGTTCATTAACTCATTTAATTCTCAAAACAATTTATGGAAATGGAATTCTTTCCTTTTATGGAAAAGGATGTTGAAGATCTCGACGTTACAAAACTTCTTCAACGTAAGAGCTAGCAGGTAACCATGATTCAAAACTTCATTTGTGTGCTTTACAGCTCATACTATTTTTACCATTTCATGTGGAACATAAAGCAGCCTGTGCTGTCTGCTTCTTTTCCAGGTAAGAAAAATCAGGCAAAGTTAAAACCTCCTTAGCTTTGATTTTTAATTTTTTGTAGACTCTGGTTCTGTGCAGAACCAGCTGCAGAGGGCAAGGCCTTGCAGAGCTGGCAGGAGAAAGCACATTGAGATCAACTGAGCACTCAGTTAATTAATGGAGAATGAGACTATGACACTGCAGCTGACTTCAAAGGCGAGATTTGATGCTCCAGTTTCTTTGGAAGCTGGGACAGTTGCAATAGGGAGAAGATACCCACACGATGTGGTTTTAAGTGAAGACATCTGCAAGTGTAAATTGGAATGCAACCACAAGGAATATAAAACAATTTGTTCACACAGAGTTTACAAAGCTCCCATTTCTCTTTCTGGATAGAATAATGCTCATTTAAAATATGTGTGGATGATCTATTTTTATGTTTATAGTTAAAATAACGCAGGAACAAATTATGTAAAAAAATTGCCATGTTTAGTTATAGAATATATATGTACATTTTTAATGAAAGTGTGGTTTTACTCACCTTTAATTCACTAGTATGTCTGGTGAGTTGTGGATCAAAAGACTACTATTTTGGTGATGTACTTTTTTCAGACGGCATGCAGAGTCCTTGTTAAAATTCAATAGGAGTATACTTAATTGATACAATCATTAAGAAGAGGCAAGGTAGTACGTGGAAACAGCCTAAGAGCTTTGGGCGTAGAATCCAACAGACTTGATTTTGACACTCAATTCTGTTACTATGCACAAATGATTTAAACATTTTGAGTTTCAGTATTCCTATATACTATTAGGAAGAGTAGTAAGCACATATTCCTCTAAAAGAGAGAAAGAATATAGAAACACTTTGCAAACAGTAAGGTTTTATACAAGTATATATTTTTCTAGTTATCCACTTATTGAGCAAATATTTGAGTGCTAATTTCTTTATTGGCCCAATAATGGATGCAGCATATAAAATGGACTCTGTCCTCCTGGTGCTGAAGGCTAACGAAAAATATAAATACAGATATATTGTCTATTAATAGCAGTACAGCCAGTATTATAGCTTGTCTTCCGCACACTAGCCACTATATTGGAAATTTTGCTTAATTGATTCGTAAGGTGCCCTCAACAATGTTATTCTCTCAACTACCATTATCCTCCTATTGCCATATAGGCTGTTATAAGAAGAATTGAAGACTGGCTTAATCACATCTGTACTTCAGAAAGATCACTGTGACTTTTCTAGATACCAAAGTATAGAGGATGATATTGGAGCAAAGAAAACAAGGTATGACACTGTTTTAGCATCGTGATGAGAGATGTTTTCTACAAATATTTAGGGAGACTAAGTCTAGAAATGTATTGGAAATAGAATTGATATGATTTTGTAATTGGATATTCTGGTGGTGAGTATGGGATCCAGAGATAATTTGATGTAACACAGAGGTGCTGGAGGAAGACAGAAGGGTCTTGTTTAGTTTTGAACATATATTTAAGGTTATCATGATATGTGCAAGCATAACTGTCAAGTAGGCAGTGTGATGCATAGGTCATAAGTGATTTGAACTGTTGATAGGCGGTGACAGCTATGACACAATCTGGAGGAACACCATAATAACAGAGCAAAGGAAATTGGAGCTTACACATGAAACCAAAAAAAGTGTTCAGACAGGTTGCAGGGTTACTAAGAAAATGCCTGGACAAAGATGTTAAAGAGACAGTGGGTTTCAAGAAAAATGCATATATATTGCAGAATTAAATGCTACCAAATAGGTCCCATTTAAGGGAAGTCTTAGGGATTTCCTTTGAATTTAGCCATGAGAAAATGTTTGATGACTTTGGTGAGATGTTTTCAGTGGAATGAGTCCAGGTAGAGATTGCATTCAGTCCTAGACTGAGTGACAAGTGAGGAAATGAACACAACAATTATAAATAATTTTCCAAGAAGATGGGAGCTCTAGGATGTTAGAGGAGTGAAAAAGACTGACGGAAAAAAAGAAAACAGTTTTGTCCAATTTTTCCAAAATGTTAAAATGAGTAAGACATATCCATGGACATGGACAAACTCAGACAGAGGCAAAACACCACAATAAAAGAATAATGAAAACAGTTCTTCTGGGAACCAATATTCAGTTTTATTTGTTTCTAAAAGTATCTGGATATGCAAGTGGTTTTATCTATTTTCTTCAGGATTAGTTCTCACCAAACAAGTTTGAATTTCCCATTCCATTCAAGAGTTTCTGCTCTCTGAATGATTGTTCTTATTAGGACTCCCCCTGGATACCCACCTCAGTAGAATGGATCTCAGTGTTTAGGCACAGAGAGAGCCCTTTTACAAGCTCTATTTGAAGACAGAGACTTCTTTATAAAGAAAAATAATTTTTAAAAATACTTTAAAAAGCTGAAAATATCATATGTAGCACAGAAATCAATTTACTATTTTTCTCCATTGGTTTTGCATATTTATTTATTTACACTTTAAACATGGACATTTCTATTAATAATTTCTTGAGCCTGGTGAAAAGTCACAGGCAAACTCATGGTGTTATGAGCAAATACTTTGTGTCATCAGGCTGTCAACAGGTAAAAATGAAACACTTTTCACCAAAGGTGTAGATTTCTTGTGAGGAGCATTACAGCCTGTGAATTAAATAGCATTCCTCTGCATGAGACATGTGTTCAAGTGTAGAGTTTGAAACCCATGCCCTAGGTTTTGCATGGGAAGACAAAGACATGATAACAAGATGACAACACCTAAAATGACATCTTGAGGAAAATAGAATAGGACATGCTACCGTAAACAGATAACAACAAGAATTAAGCAAAGCTGGATATATGAGTGATTTCTTATTATAACATTGAATATATTCTTCTACTATTTTCGAGGTTATATAAACTCAATGGAACACTTTTATTTTACACTGGGACTGTTGGTTATTTGAAATGTACTTTGACCCTTAGATAAATAAGGTGCTTTCACACACCCAATATTTGATGTTTCATTTGTTACCCTAGATATAATCTGTTACAAAATGTTTGGTGTTTTGCCTCCCTGGACATACTATGTGAGCAACATTATTATGCTTGGGCAAAAATGACGTTAGCAATTTCAGTTCTGCAAACTAATAAATACTATTTAGGATGCATGCATTATATAGGACACTATTCCATACTATAAACATAAAAATATAACAGAAATACAAATTATTTGATCCAAAAATGCATACTATTCATACAATGAGGTCTAAAATTAAAGATGTTTGTATTTTATTTAGTGCCTATTAATCTGTAATGTATCTCCTTAGGCTTCTTTTCCTCTTAATTATGAAAACAACATTCTTTATGTACTAATGGATCAAAGACACATATGTAGTATGGTTCAGATTAGAAAAACAGAACTTGAGATGTATAAGCCAAATTTACGAAAAGTTAATAAAATCAAATTATACTGTTTCAATATTTTTAGCAAAACATGAAAAGTGATATTGAGAACAACATAATAACTCATATAATTCTTTAAAACATTATCTGAATTTTAACCAAAGAAGCCTTGTCTATAATACTAATTAAAATAAAAATAAGTGTTTGGGTGCAGTGGCTCATGTTTGTAATCCCAGCACTTTGGGAGGATGAGGCAGGTGGATCACTTGAGACCAGGAGTTTGAGACCAGCCTGGCCAACATGACGAAACCCTATGTCTACTAAAAGTACAAAAATAAATAAATGAATAAATTAGACACAGTGGTGCATCCCTGTAGTCCTAGCTACTTGGAAGGCTGAGGCAGGAGAATTGCTTAAACCTGGGAGGCAGAGGTTGCAGTGAACCGAGATCCCACCACTGCATTCCAGCCTGGGCAACAGAGCAAGACACTCTCTCTCTCTCTTTCTTTCTCTCTCTCGCAAAAAAAAAAAAAAAAAAAAAAAAAAAAAAAAAAAAAAAAAAAAAAAAAATATATATATATATATATATATATATGTATATATCTATTATGAGTACATTTAAAACAATATAGTTTTTATTTTTAATCTAATTATTCTTTCACTTAAAAGTCATGTCTTATCATCTTACAACTTATACAGGAAATTCCTAAATTAGAAAAATATTATAGTGGATACTGGTAGAATTTAAAAAAAAATCTAACAGAAATAAATCACCACTATAGGAAATTTTATTTTCATTTTCAGTGTACTTCCTTTCAGAGATATAAACCACAATAACTGGTATCTGAAATGCAGTAATCAATGTGATAAAATCCTGGAAAGTATTATGAATTAAAAATAAATGAGCTAGACCCCAAAAGGAAGTTACAGAAAACAAAATAAAAGCTTTATCAGCACTAGACCAAGCTACATTACTAAGGGATTGCTGACATTGGAAAAGACAAGGCATTAATACTTAAAGGGAAGTATGTCAATATACTTTATTATTTTTGTCTCAATATAAATGCGTATAGAATTCTGAAATTGGAGAGAGCAAAGTGAAAGTCTGTTGGCCTGTTGTGCATCTGCTACCTTGTCAAGATTGTCTCCGTGAACCAAACTGATGTCAGGGGACAACCACCGGCAGCTACAGAAATCAGACTATGAAGATTGCCTGCAGAGAGAAAACTTTCATACTGTAGCTTGCGTTACGTGAAAACTACCCGAAATCTATGAGATGCCAATCAGTTTTAAACCACAGAGAATACTGTAGAAAAGAGAGGTTCATATTTTAGGTTTATGCTCTACTAAACAGAGAAAACAAAAACTTAATTAGTTGACTTGATCAGTATTTGCTTTAAACGTTCTAGAGCAAAGTATCTCAGTTGAGGTACTGTTGACATCAGGGACCAGATGATTCTTTGCTGTGGGAAAACCTTTGTAGGATGTTTAACAGCATTTGTGACCTCCAACCACTAAATGCCAGTAGCACCCTGGTCCTCAATTATGACAATAAAACTTGTCTCCAGACATTGCCAAATGTTCCCCTGGGGGCCAAATGTTCTCTTCCTGAGAATTGTTGTATTAATCATTTTAGTTATATAAACATGAGGTAATTTTCTACGGATTAATTTTCACCTTTGGCTCCTATCTGTAAAGGAGGGATTTTAATGATACCTACTTTAGGGGACTGAAGAAGAATAAATGATTTTTTAAAACTCTTATTTAGGTTCAGGGGTACATGTGTAGGTTTGTTAAATAGAACAGCTCATGTCACATGGGTTTGGTGTACAGATTATTTCCTGATGCAGATACTAAGCCTAGTACCCAATAGGTATTTTTTCTGATCCTCTTCCTCCTGTCCCCCTCCACTCTCAAGTAGGCCACAGTGTCTGTTGTTCCCCTCTTTATGTCCAAGTGTTCTTGTTGTGAGAACATATGGTACTTGGTTTTCTGTTCCTGCATACGTTTGCTAAGGATAATGGCCTACAGCTACATCCATGTTCCTGTAAAGGACATGATCTCATTTTTTTATGGCTGCATAGTATTCCATGGTTTATATGTACCACATTTTCTTTATCCGATCTGCCATTGATGGGCATTTAGGTTGATTCCCTGTGTTTGCTATTGTGAATAGCATTGTAATGAATATACACGTGCATGTGTCTTTATGGTAGAAAGATTTATATTCCACTGGGTATGCACCGAGTAATGGAATTGTTAAGTCGAACGGTAGTTCTGGTTTTAGCTCTTTGAAGAATTGCCACACAGCTTTCCACAGTGGATGAGCTAATTTATACTCCTACCAACAGTCTATAAGCATTCCTTTTCTAGGCAATCTTGCTAGCATCTGTTACTTTTTGACTTTTTAATAGCCATTCGGACTGGTGTTGAGATGGTATTTCATTGTGACTTTGATTAACATAAAAATAAATGATTAAATGAATTCAAGAGGTTAAAAAATTAGGTGCTAAATAAATGACAGTTAGCATTGATTTATTATCAGAACTTCTAATACAAAATCTGACCTTATATCATGTTCTTAGTCTAATTTTTCTTTTTTACCTTTTGATTTGCCTTTAATCTTAAAGCTGCTAAAAAGCAAAACAAAGCATATGAAGTTGCTCCTTTAAACTTCTCTGTCTTATAAACCAAGCTATCTGAAAAATTCACAATTTAATCCTGTAATCTCAAGTTAAGAGCCCGAACGTTGTCACATTAATAAGTAAATTACATTATTCATCAGGGTGAATGAAATAAAATATTAAATCATATCACATTATTAGAAAAGGAACGTAATATTGGATATTTTAATGGAAACTTACAGTCAATGACCTTACTTGCTAAATTAGCACTCTGCATCATTCTACAATGGTCTATCCAACTCAATATCATTTCATTATTAATAGCATTTTCTGAGTGATCTAAGTCACAGTTTTAAAATTCTAATAAAGCAAGTGTATTTTCTTTATTTCAATTTTTAACTTTTTAAAAATATTCATATGTGAAGTGAATCCCTAAAGATTCTGAAGGTACTATGTTATCTTTTGTCCTTTAATGATAAGAAATGTACTATTAGTTTGGACCTTGTTTCTTTGTAGGTAATCTATCTTTTATATTTGGTTGCTATTAATTTTTTTTCTGTTTGGTTTTTGGCAATTTTACTAAGATGGCTCTAGGTTCAGAATTTGTTTTTACTTATTCTGTTTAGGACGAAGTGTGCCTCTTCAAACTTAGGATTCATATATTTTTTCTGTTTGTCCAATTCTGTTACTGCATCTGCCATTATCTTGAATATTGCCTTTCTCTGATAATCTTTCCTCCTTTTCCAGATCTCCTGCTAGGTCTAGGTTGTACTGCTTCATTCTGTATTCATATGACTTTTTCTCCCTGTTACATCAACCCCCCATTTATTTTTTAATGCTGCACCTATGTGACTATATATATATTTTTTTCTTTTTTTCTTTTTTTTTTTTCTGAGACAGGGTCTCACTCTGTTGCCCAGGCTGGAGTGCAGTGGCGGGATCATGGCTCACTGCAACCTCCGCCTCTGGGGCTAGTGATCCTCCCACTGCAGCCTCTCAATTAGCTGGGACTACAGGCACTTGCCACACCCACTGTCTTTCAATTTATAAATTTGAACATGTTCTGTAAACTACCACTTAACCCATAGTTTAAAATTTAGCATGGATATCTACATCTCCTTTCAATATGATGTTTTTCCTTTCTTTTATCCATTTTAATGTCAAACCTTCTTATTCTATAGTCTCTTTCATATTGCTCTGTTATCAAATATTCATGCTATGCTAATAATTATTTGGTATGTTTTATTTGGCTACTGCTATAGCATGAATATGTACCCCGGAATTCTTGAGTCGGGAATCTAATCCTCAATGCAATAGTGTTGTGAGATGGGGCCTAATGGGAAGTGTTTAAATCATAAGGGCTCTGCCCTCATGAATGGATAAATCCCACTATAAAAAAGGTTTGAGGGAGTAAATTGGTCTCTTTTCTTCTTCTGCCCTGTGAGAAACAGTGTTCCTCCTCTGTGAAGGATAATGCATTCAAAGTACTACCTTGGAAGCAGAGACTTGGAAGCTGATGCCTTGATCTTGGACTTCCCAGCCTCCATAACCATGAGAAAATAATTTTTTTTCCTTATAAATTATCCAGTGTCAGGTATTTCATTGTAGCAGCACAAAACAGACCGAAATGGCTACTTCCCTTATATAGTCTACACATTATTATTGTAAGTCTTTATGTGACATTTTTTCTCCCATAAGAGTTTCACTCAAATAGGGTCATGGCATTTCTTCACAAAATATATCTGTCAGGTCCCTAGGGAGTTCATCAGGTCCTCATGAGGTGCTATGTTGATAATTTAGTGTGTGCTTCTTGTGCCTAGTGCATTATACAAGTTCAAAGAACAACATCCATGCTTAATGTTGTTTTGATTATTACATATCAAGGAGAATTTCATTTTTGTCACCCTCACCACCACCCCCCATCCCCCCAAAAAAAGCAAACACCACTGAGAATTCCAGAAATGTAGACAAGCTTCATTATGACCACAGTGTATTTCTTGCCACATCTCCATGGTACTCCAAGTTTACTCAGAAATCTCAGTTTCATCTACCCATTTTACACTGGCTCAAAGCTCTACCACCTATTTCTGTATGGACTTTGAAACCCCAACTCATGGTCTTTAGCCACTATATTTTAGTGGAATACACATCTAGACCCCTGGAACCACTGTGCCCTTCGCATCCTGTTTTGACAGCTGGGTGTTTCTCTTACTTTCTTTTGAGATTAGCTGCATGTACGCGCTTTTGTTATAGTTGCTATATTTTATCTCATATTTCTACATAAATGGATTGGGAGCTAGTATATGTCAACTCAGTTCACTATGTTAACATTTAAATATGGAAGTGTCTCTCACTTCCATATTTAAGTACATGTATCTCAAACAACATTTTTGGCATATATGTTCAAAATTAAATTAATTAAATTACAAGGAAATATACTTTATTAAAAATAAAGCCAAGAGCCTTTAAAGACCAGCAGAATATATTTTTTGAATCTATTTGACAACAAAAGGCAAAACCTATTTAACAAATATTTCACAAAAGCACCCAAAATGCAGATTCAGTGTGCTTACTTAAGCTGGAGGAAGCCACAGTGAAAATAAAACAATGAAATATTTGTTACTGACAGACAACACTCAGCCAATCTCTCATTTCAGCCGCATACTAAGCAGAGGATTAGAATACCTCTACAGCTAACCTGTGATTCTGCTTCACAATTTAATCACAACTCAACTTATATATTCCAAGAATAACATACTACAATGAAAATTACTGTAAAGTAAACATACATTTTTAAATATTAATATATATAGATGGTCAACAGAGAAAATTTGGTTGTATATTTTTAAAGCATAGACATGAAATATTTGAAGGAAACTTACAGATGGTGAAACTGACTTCCAGAGAGATTAATAAAAGACAGAGAGATACAAATATGATTCATGTTATTTTGCTCTTGTTTTATTTCAAATGAACTTTAAAATTGCAGTCTTATAAAAACTAATATGGATTACTGTTGGCACACTTTTCTTAATGTCATGTAATTTATTTCTGAATACAGTTAGAAGACAATGTGTGAGATGTGTGACTACTTCTTTCTTTTAAATGTCTTCCTTCTTGATGTGCTTTTAATAATACACATAGGCGTGTGTATGCATGTGTACGTAAATATATATATAATTATCTTCACTAAATAATGAATTACTGTGTCAAAATTTCATAATTTAAGAAGAAATATATTAGTTGTTAAAGTATTTCCAAAATCCAAAAATTACAGCTTTCCCAAAGAAAGAAAGTCTGATATTAAATGAAATAGATAAACTGAATGCTATATCATATTTGATAAGTTTTTACACAGAACTGAATTTTTGTTTACTTGATATTTTTAAAAAATTGAATTGCATTCCATTATTTGGAAATTAAAAGATTTAATATTGGATATTTATTCCAACATGGCAAAAATTGTTTGTACTTGTGTAGTAGCTATTTTGAAAATTGTCTTAAAAAGTCAGGCACAGCCTCAACAATTTGCTACACTCTAACTATTACCAGTTTTTTTTATGCTTAAACCATATACTTTGCTATTTAGTTTTACTCTTTCAAATTTCAAATTTTGTTTTTCTTATACTGGGTTTTCTAATTTAAATTATGTCACCCAAAACAATATGCTAAACTTTTAACCCCCGATACTTAAGAATATGACCTTATTTAGGAAGAGTCATAACATATATTCGTCAAGATGATGTCATACTAACGTGTGATGGACCCTTAATCTATTACGGCTTGTGTCCTTATTAGAGGGGAGAATACTTTCAAGAGGCTGAGACAGGAGGATCGCCTGAGACCAAGAATTCAAGGTTGTAGTGTTCTGTCATTGTGCTTGTGAATAGCCACTTCACTCGGCCTGGAAGAACACAGCCATATGATGAGGGAAACAAAGATTGGAGTGACATATCTGCAAGCTAAGGAATTCTTGGGACTGCCAGAAACTAGAAGACACAAGTAAAGATCCTCTCCTAAAATTTTTGGAGCAAGCATGGCCCTGCCAACTACTTTGATATTGGATTTCTAGCCTCCAGAACTGTGTGAGAATAAACTTATATTGTTTTAAGGTAATTAGGTTATGGTAATTGTTAGAACAGCCCTCAGAAACTAAAACAGTGATATTACATGGAAAGTGGAAATATTTTATATCTGTTTTATCATAACTAGAAAAATGAATGCAACAACTATTTATTTATCTACTTTGTTTTTCTTGGATCCCATGAGTATTTGACTATACAATCTCCCTCCTTAATTCCAATGTGCTTCACCCCAGAGTTCAAATTTATACTTCTCTCTTTGAGACATGGGTTTTACCAGTAAGAAACAATGAAAACAAGTTTACTGAAAATAAAAGTTTTATTTATTGAGTAAGAGGTATCATTAAAGAAACAGAATTAATAAAATATAGATATAACTTACATCCAAGAATGAGCATTTATCAGATTATTTACACATGTTTCTTTGTTTCATCTCCATAATAACCGGAGATTTAAGTGGGCTAGGTATTACTGTCCTTAGGTTACAATTAAGATTATGAAGGTTTTTTTTTAATGTAACTATTAAATAGCACAGTTTATCCTTGAAAGAAAATCAGTTGTTAATATCCAGGAACTGATTTTTAATATAAAAAATTATTATTTTGTCCTTTGTTAAAAAAAAACAGAAAATTGCAACAGTGTGGTTTTTTAATAAGAAAAAAACGTGCATAAAGCAATACTGGTCTATATGTACATTAATAAAAATACATATATAATAACTTGCAATGAGCAGGTAGCATATTTTTGATAGTGTAAAGCAAAGTAAATAATTATTGAATGAAAGATATGTACAGGCAGGGCGCGGTGGCTCACGCCTGTAACCCCAGCACTTTGGGAGGCCGAGGTGGGCAGATCAGGAGGTCGGGAGATCGAGACCATCCTGGCTAACACGGTGAAACTCCGTCTCTACTAAAAATACAAAAAATTACCAGGCGTGGTGGCACGCGCCTTAGTCCCAGCTACTTGGGAGGCTGAGGCAGGAGAATCACTTGAACCCAGGAGCTGGAGGTTGCAGTGAGTCGAGATCGCACGACTGCACTCCAGCCTGGGTGACAGAGAGAGACTCCATCTCAAAATAAATAAATAAATAAGATAATACAAGCTAAATTCAAATTATAGCCAATTTCTTTCCTACACATTTTCCATTTTAAAACAAATTATCTTAAGAGAGAGAGTAACATAACCAAAGAGAATAGCAAAGAAATATATCATTCTATAACTCATGAAGAATTAATTCCCATCAGTTTTCAAGTTTGTACAGAACATGAGGGCTAATGTATGAGTTCAGCCATGGAAATACAAAAGTAGGTTTTCATTAAATCACTGACTGCAGTTGTGTAATAGCTCATCACCCTGGTTAGTGGCTACTGCCACTGTATTCCTTGACGAGATGCCATCTGTCATACTCAAGATAGCAGGAAACTAATGCTTGTTCTCATCAAAAAGGCACATTTGGCCAAAAGAAGTGAACTGAAGGTTTGATATCCAAAGAAAATGATTTGCTCTCTTCCTTTAGGAAGAGAAAACAGCAACAACAAAATAATCCTGGGGGAGAAAAGCAATGAGTCTGGAAATATCTACTGGTGGTGAATAGGAGAAGCATTTCAACACTTCAAATACTTTTAACCTTTAACTTTGCTGCAAAAAGAGATTTATTGGGATAAAATAAATAAATCCTATTCTTAGTCAACCAATTAGATTTTCTATGACTTACATGTGCATCTGTAGCTAATGACAGGTAGTAACCATTGCGTTCACTCTCTGTGTATCCACCAGTTTTTAGAAGTATTAGAAGCTTCCCTGATAGCCGCTTGCCTGAGAGAAAGCAAGGTTCTCCTCATTAGCACACAGTAGCAATCCACAGGGTAGCCAGCATTTGATTATTAACATGAACTATGTGGGCCATTAGCTGTCTACCTGTTTCAAAAACATGTATGGTGCTGTTTAGCTTTGGACTTTCTTTCCTGCTGTCAAATTTAGTTAAAATGTGCCTCTGGGATTAAATGTGATAAGGGGAAATGCACAGTTGAAGCTATTTCATAAGTCTTCCTCCTATAGGAATCATGGTTGAAAAATAAATTAATTCTTAATACATAATATTTTGTACTAGCCTCATAGCTCTATAAACCTTAGGATAGAGACAATATTTATTAATAATGTCCTGAGGTTTTAGAGCCAGTATGCACTCTTAAAATTCATTTTATCTCTTTGGAAATAGCAGTTGCTATAAATGGATTTATTCCCCATTGATATTTGAAGTTGCTGTTAGGGAGTTCTTTTTATTTTAATTTTTGGTAATTACATTAATTTAAGCCTTCTGTTAGATTTTTATAGTGAGTATTAACAAAGTAAACTTGGAAAAAATTCTTGTGTCTTTTGCTACTGTTTACCTAATAAGTGATGTAAACATTCCAAGTGGAGAATCATACCCTCAGAAATGCATTCCTATGGATAATTCATAGCAAACTAGATGATGAAATCAAATCATGCCGCATCATGCTCACATATACTTATTACACTGAATTAAAATCTAGAATTAGAAAGATTAGTTTTATTCAATGTCTAGTCAATTTACACGTCTCTTACCGGTAGGACCACATATTGATGCAACATTGTCATCCTATCTCAACCACATAGCACAACAAGGAATTATTAGCTTAAATTTTAATACTAAAAATCATATTATGTCATTAATTTTAAATTACTTTATTAATCTTTTAAAATTATTATCATAATTAATTCATATGCCCTTGATATTATCTTTTTTATGAGGTACTTCAATAAGCTATTGGTATTTTAACAATGAAGAGATGATTCTAACGTGGGGATTGTCAATTTCAAAGCTGAAGGTCAGAGAGATTCTTCTCTCTAATGAAACTTTGGATGAGTAAAATAATATATGAGCGGCTAAAGTTTAAAAAAGAGGCCTTTAAAAAAAATAATTCACACCGTAGAACACATAAAATTTCTTAGCATCCTCTGGCAAATAGAAATATTTTGGTACCTACACTGATTGAGTAGACGCTTGCCTAATATGCTATACCACAAGGACATAGTCACATTTGTGAAACTTTTATTCCTTTTTATGTCCACGACTGTTTTCTGCTGGAGGATTTATTGTGATATCAGGTCTGTAAAAACCATTTAGACTCTGAAACTTGGTCAAATCTATAGACTATTATGCATCTGCCATCTTGTTTTGTTGTGAGATTTGTGAGGATCCAAAACTCAGCATAAGGTGTTTGTCTTAGAAAGTAAAGGGCCAAATATGATGATAAGTCCCAACTTTAAAATAAAAATGATGCGGCCGGGCGTGGTGGCTCACGCCTGTAATCCCAGCACTTTGGGAGGCCGAGGCGGGCGGATCACGAGATCAGGAGATCAAGACTATCCTGGCTAACACGGTGAAACCCCGTTTCTACTAAACAAAATACAAAAAATTAGCCGGGGTGGTGGCGGGTGCTGTAGTCCCAGTTACTCGGGAGGCTGGGGCAAGAGAATGGCATGAACCCGGGAGGCGGAGCTTGCAGTGAGCCGAGATCGCGCCACTGCACTCCAGCCTGGGTGACAGAGCGAGACTCCGTTTCAAAAAAAATAATAATAATAATAATAATAAATATAAATAAATAAATAAAAATGATGCTAAGACCAATGCATCCAAACAAAAGTATGCATGTTTATTATTTCAGTTTTTATGTAGATAGTGTTAAAAAGCAAAACAGCATGCTTTAAATTAAGATCTAGCTAATGTATAGATTTTGAGATTTACTGATGGCTAAGAGTCCTATTATTAGTGTATTTTATCCTAGATATCTATTAATAAACATGATTTGTGGGTAAATAATTCACATATATGCCGAATTATGAGAAATTTGAGGGAGAAGAAAATGCATGGTCAATTGATACTGAAAAAGTTATTTTCTTTTGGATGTTCCTGCCTGCTGACAGCTCTGCCTGATGTCTGGCAGTGTTTTCTCATGGGCAGAATAATCATTTTCTCATTATTGGCCTCTAGCATAGTTTAGAACCACTCACTTTTCCCATAGACTCACCACACTCCCTTCATTATGAGAACAATATTTCAGGCTATATAATACATATATTTTTATAAACTAATAGAGAAAAGCTAAGTTCTCTAGCTTTCCCAATTCCAGGTTGGAGAGAATAGCCTCTGAGAAAGAATTGGTGATGTAAAAATTTCTGTTCCTGCTTCCATACTTTCAGAGGGTGATCATCAGATCCCATGGTGACACAAAAAGGAACAGAAAAAACCACTCTATTTTAGAAGGTGAGCAAAATGACTGAGGGACAGAAGCATAAACCTTTTTTCCCATGCTCCCTTTAGCTTTCCAGAACATATTTGCTCCAAGTTTTGCAAGCTTTTATGTAAATTTCCAAGGGATTCTGCTGCCTAAAGTAATGAAATAGTGACTCTTAAAGTCACATTCTACCACTTTTGAACATGACCCTGGTTGCAGAGATGAATTCGGCAGGGAAAAGATCTTGAGTATGACAATAGGTGCCCAAATGCTTGTATTGTGGTTAAGTGTAGCACCTGCCCCTCATAAGATCTTCTAAAATACTGTTCAAACCGAACAACAGTCAAAGGTCTTCCACTTTTCAACCACTGACATATATGATGTGAATTGATAGAAACTATGAAATCCTGTGCCCTCCAAACAGTCCGTGCCCTGAAATTTTATCATCAGTATCACAACTCTTTCCCTACTTTGAAGATTATCTTTTCACATGCAAATATTGTCTATTGTGATAATGCTTTAAGTTTGAAACAAGAAAAGAAGAATAAATGTATTCGTTTTGGAAACAGAGCAGTAGCTGGTTACATTTTCTAGAATGGCACATGTGAAAGGCATCTTCTATTTATTATTAAAGCCTTTTCTGTTTCCCAAAAGGACAAAGTACTTTAAAACAAAAGAAGAGATACACCAAAATCATTAAATTTAGCTCTAAGAAGAATTTATAGCAAGAGTCTTTGTCTAAGGAACATTAAACACAAAACTGGACAGTATCTTCAATAGCAGTTTTACAAAAAGAGCAGAAACATTCTTCATATGGTCATTTCTTGCACTGACCTTTGATAAGAAGCCAAGGGCATGGTGCCAGATCATAGCTCTGTCAAAGCATTTAAAACGGGGGTAAAGTAATATAGTCCTTGTGTGTACCATTGTGATGATCTGACTTGATACAGGGATAAAGCCTAGCGAATCTACAGAGATGAATGGTCAACGTGTCCAGAGGCTGCTGATTCCTCAGGAATTTCAATTGACTCAGTTGTCTGACACTTGAAAATGGAAACTTCTAGTGGGTATTAAAATGTTTGTTAAGTGTTGTACATTGTTAGAAACCCTTATAATAACAATAAAGGCAAAAATAGCAATGAAAAAATAATAGCTAATATTTACTGAGTGCTTGCTATGTTCCAGGTCCTGTGCTAATTAACTTGCATGACTCACTGAATATCCCAGCAATCTCATGAAGTAGGTTCTTTTCACATCATGTCCATTTTCAAAAGCAAAAATTGAAGCTTACAGAGGCTAAGCAAATTGCATGGGCTCACACAGACAGAAAGCACAATGTGGAAATTTGAATCCAAACAACCTGCCTCCGGATCCCAGTGGCACTACTTTACCCTAGCTTATGTTAAATTATAAGTGGAAAAGTTGTCTCTTTGCTACCATATAAAATTAGCTTGTATTCTTATTCACCTGAAGATTCATCTCAGGTCTTCAGAGAAGTAAGCTTCAGAAGAAGCGTATTTAGACAGAGCCTTGATTTTTAAGACTTAGCTCAGATCTATCCCTAATTTAACAACTAAATGAACCCTTAGAGCCCTTTACCATAAATTATGGCACGTGTAACTTTGGCCCAAATATATTGACAAAGGAAGTGTTATAGTCATCTCTTTGTACTGTAAAAGAGCTTAATTTGGGCTCTTGGGACCAGTTTATATGGAGAACTGAAGTGAAGTCTGTGAGCACAGGGACTTCATCAGTGTCTGTTGTCCGTTGTCAAATGATTTAACTGACTATAAAAATAATTTTTTCCTACCCTATTCTGCCTGCTAAGGATATCCTTCTATTATTGTAGTAAGGAAGAAAGCCTTGGAGACGTAGTTGCCTATCTTACTTGGTAGGGTAAATCAATATGTGTACAAATGATCTGAGAGTTGAATCAAATTACTGAGAAAATACATATTAAGAGGTGTGCATGTAAGTGGAGACGAACTAGAACATGGGTCTGCTTTATACACTGCAAAGCTCTTTCTATATACACTGCTCTGTCTTCATACACTGCAAAGCTCTTTCCTACCCATACTATTTCCACAGGTGGTATTGGGATAAGGGCTCTGAAAAATAATTAAAATCCTGGTATCCATATTGAGTTAATGGCTCTGTAGAATTTAACGATGAATCAATAGATTCATAGAAAACTAGTTTTGTCATTGAGATAATACATTGAATGGCCAAGTCAATAGCAGGATAGTTGTGCCTTAACTCTCTCTGAAGTTCTTCAAAATTTCGAATAAATTCCTATTGTTCAGTACTTAATAGAGCTGAAGAGAATATCAGCATACTGAAGGGGTAAATATAGGATTTATAGGCTTGTAACATGGAGTGTTGTGTGTGTGTGTGTGTGTGTGTGTGTGTGTAGAGAGGTAGATATAGATATAGATATTTAAATAAATAAAAAAAAACTTGAATCTTAAAAATATACTTGGAAAATTATGGTAGGATTGTTCCAAAACCCACACCCTACTCAGTAAAATCAAACAAATGAAAATTTTAATGCAAATTTTCTGGCAAAAGAAAATCTTTCCTCAAATGTTTACACAATTTTAAAGCAACTAACAGACACTAAAATAAATGCAGTTACTGAATCGTGGCTGAATACTGTCTGATGGCTTTAAGATATATGACAGTAAGAAATTTATAAACGTTGCACATTTGTGTAGGTTGAAGTTGAGTGAATTCCACAAATTTAAACCTTTTTTAAAAATTATTGTGTTTTTTTTTTTTTCTAATTTTTCTGGGGGTACAGTTTTGGAAAAAATGTGTACCTATTTTAATATCTTCATTTTGAAGCTCTAACTTAATCAAATTAAATTCTAATGCTGTGAAACAAATAACAATATATTTGTATCTTAAATTTTAAAAATAGTTCATTTGAGCTCAATAATCAGCATTTTTTGAACATTGACTTTTCCTGAGATGTAAATATTTATGCATAATTAATAATATTAAATTGACCTATTTTATCTTATGAGATGACAGAACAGTGAGGGAAATCATGTAACCTTGTAAGCTGGGATTTGTTTCTCTCACATCACAAAGCATTATCTTAACAAAGAACAAAGAAGCATGTTTGAGACCTTGGCATTCCAAACAATGAAATAAATTGCAGCATTGGAAATTATTTAATTATTGTAAAAATGGATTCTTAGAGTTTTTGTCATTGTATTTCATTTATAGAGATTAAAATAAAATGTTTAAAAGAGGAACTGTTGCATGAGAAGGTATATTCCAGTAGGCAAGCCGCTGATCTAGGGATCAAGAAACAAATAATTTCAGTAGTGAATGTATGAATAGCTCACTCTTTCATCAGGCCAAGTATAACAGCTCTTTGATATTTAATGAGAAAATTTTCACAGAATATTCTGGATTTCTATGTTTCCTAATTTTATTTTAAGAATATGACCAAGCATAACACAAAATCCTGAAGCTTTTAGATAATAAGGCAAAAATACTGGTTTGATTATATATATATAATATGTGTATAAACATAACCACACATATATATATGCATATACGTAAATTAATATATACATTTGAAGTATTTTTTGCAACATAATGATAATCTCAAATTGATACGTGAACTAAAATCTTCTATAAATATTGTGAGAACTAAAAACACGCACACAATAATGCATCCATTTATAAGAAGTTCAAGAACAGGTCAACGTTTCTATGGGGATAAAGGGAGTAACAGTTAAATCTGGGAGAAGAAATACTGACTGAAAAAGGCCATAAGGGATGTTGATGCACTATCTTTGATCTGCACATATATAGAAGTATATTTATTTGCAAAAAAATTAAGCTGCATTTAAGGTTTGGGCAATTTATTCCATATATATTGGAATTAAATAAAAAATAAACACCTTGTGTGTGTAAAGTATAGGCATGAAAGCAATAATCTCTCCAGTTGATATAATGTCTTTGTGGAATTAGACAAAGATACTTCTGAACAAATTCAGCTTCTTGGGCACAAAGTGTGACCAACAGAAAAGGGCAGTTTCACTTCATTGGCCTATAAGAGTCTATACAATAGTATATCCACAGTGCTGCATACAAATAAATATTGTTGAGGCAGAAACATACAAACAGTGGCTTGAATGAGTTTCATCACATCTTAAAGTTTGGTGAAAACTATTCCATGTCAAAAGGCTTTAGAATTAAAGGAAAACATTTTAATCTTCTATGGTAATACATTTTAATATGCAAATTTTGAGCTATGTAACTTAATACTATTCAATATTTGCTCAAAGAAAAGAGATCTATATAGAATACAATTTCCTTCATTAGATTGATGAAGTCAATAATTTGTTTTTTGATTACTGACCATAGAGAAGTCATCTTTATGCATACCAGTCAAAAATCAATTCTTAACAACAAATTTGCAATTTAAAAACATATATTTAAAGCAGGACTAAATCCAGCAAAGCAAAACACTAAATAGATTTTTTTGTTGAAATTTAAGCATTCTGGTTATTTATATTTGGTGAATTGCTGTGGAAATCTGTGACTGAACCGCCTTAGATGCATCCTTAGATAGAACAGAAATATTTTAACCTACCTATGGATAATTAATCAAATAATATATTTATCTCAGATATTGTGATAGGAGAAAATATGCAGCAAAAATTATTAGGTTTTGACCTACATTTTTGGAGATCTTGGGTATAAGGCACTGCATAATGTGTTGGTCATGATTGGCAAGAGCTTCTGTGATGCTGAGTGGTATTTATTGCTGGATCCTGCTAGACAAGTTTATTTGCTAAATGTAGTAGCTTCATTTCAAAAAAAGAAAGAGACAAGCTCCGTATGTATTTATGTGTTTTAGATCTGTTAACTTGAAATGTGTTCTAAGGGATGAATTAAAGTAAGTAAATTGTTTTAATTTGAATGAGTTAATACTTCAGAGTGAATTGTGAATTCTCTGAAAAAAAGAGAAGATTAAAAATAATTAGAAATTAGCATTATCATTTTGCATGATGGTGGTGAAACTGTTGTACTACATGGTTAATATTCTGATTTTGGAAAGGTTTATATTTATAATGTCAACCCATTTTGCAATATAGATTTAATAAACATTATTGTTGGTAGCTGGCAGATTTAATCGTTCAATTGGCTACCAATTTACTATTTCCATTATAATTTAGTTGTGGAATCCTTCAGGATTACTTACTTTCTCAAGCCCTATTTACTAACTTTGAAATTTGGCAAGAAATTGCTTGCATTAATTTTCTACTAATGACTGTCTGTACATATGAAAATGTATTACAGGATCACCAGTTAGGTAATTCATAGATATCAAAGTTAATTTTTTGTATCAACAGAAAGAGAAGAGTAATGTGGATTTTTTTCCCTTCCAGTTAAAAATAAATTATTTTAAATTTTGAATTCCAAATATAGCTAAGCTACTGTGGTAAGAAGGAAACTAAATAATCTCATGATGTCTTATTTAAAAGGAAAATTCATTAAATGTCTTGCTTTCAGGACTAAAAACATATTTCCTATTAGAAAAGTCATTTATAAAAAATTCATTTTTTATCAGTAATTTATTTACTACCACAAACCTGGAGAAAAAATTAAGACATATATAAATAGAGAATAGGGTGTTTGGAGACTAAAATAAATAATGGATGTAAAAATGTTCTGTAAACTGTCAATTGCTATGGTAATTTTACTTTTCAATAGCTACAATAATTTGTATTACTTCAAAACCATTAATATCTTCATTGACAAATAATAATTTATCACCTACATTGGACAAGGTATTGTGTTTTACTATGGAAATAGAGAGTCATAAGTAAAAGACTATGTCCTTGAAGGACAGTATAATTAGGAAGAAAGAGCATATAAAAAGAAGGTGCATGATAATAAATAGTAATATATGTGAACTGCCAAGGAGTGAAAGAAGCAATAAATTCTGCAGGAAATCAGAGTTGGGGGTCACCATGAAATTAAACTATTGGTATGCCTATGCAAATCAATTCTAAATTATTATGTCTTAAAAAACAAAGTTAAACGTATGTCCAGTCAAAAGAAAGGTGAGTTATTACAACCGTTGATTTTTCCACCTTTATATTCCGTCCTTTTCCTGTGGAAAATTTATGCCCTCTGGTGGACAGGACTAATAGTTTTATAAATTTCAAAGGTGATCCCATCCTTTTTTGATAATGTCAATAACCATATGTTAGAAGTGGAGCTGGCAGTGTCAGTTCCAGATGATTTTTAGTGTTTTAAAGGTCATTTAATTAACATCTTTAAATGACTTACTGTTTCATTTAGTTACAGAGCCATAATCCTAGTTTCTAGAATTTTCTAAGATGCTAAAAGGATTTCTGTGTAGTTATGATATACCGTTTGAAACTTCTAAGAACAATTACAAGAATATCTGGTATTCCTTGATTACATGAAGGAGTACGGTAAGAATAACACGTCTACCACTTTGACATGCTCATTTAACTATCGACAATCACAAATCTCTGGACTTCAGATATGTATTTTTCATGTTTCTTAGAACAGCAAACCTAAATCAAATCTACATATATGCCACCTTCCTAAACCAGAAATAGTCAAGAGTTTACAATGTAGAGCTACAAGTAAAACTGTTTCTTAATATTTGTGTCTTTAAAAGTGAAATACAATAGCCCATTTTTAAAAGTCTGTATCTCTAAGACTTTTGTATGTGGAGGGTGCTAGGATTGAATCCTCCGGTCTCAATGTCCAAAGACCTAAAGATTTTGGTAATTTGTTCGGAGGTGTTTGTTGACATAATTGCTTTTATTTTGTGATTTTAATTGCTACCTAGTTATATCATCCAATCTTTTAATGCTGTGAATCACTTTATGTGCCATTCACATTGGAACGAAGAATCCGAATTTAATGTTTTTTGGCAAACAACATACAATAATTAGGAAACTTCGTTAAACTCTCTAGTCCCACTACTTATCTTAAAAAAGGGAAAACAGACACTCATTGGGTTTGACATTATATAGGCTATTTGATACCAAGAGAAAGTCAAATGTTCTCTTTTCTTAAAGAATATGCTAGATAATATATATCATATGACCTGAAGTTTACAGGCAGAAAGCATTTTACATTGGTTTCTTATTCAAATTTTAGAGATTTTTCACAAGCAATTTATGTAGGTACAAGCTTCTGAAAATGTCCTTTGGGCACATCTGTCTTCCCAATTTCATCAATTCAGCTGAATATAACACCCGTGTCCCCAGGTAAAAGTCATGATGCAATTCTATCAGACAGTTGCTGTACTTTGCGCAGTGTGGGTGTGAGAGCTAATTTTGTCCTTAGATTCAGAAGCTTCATTAACAGTCTTAACACATTCACTGCAGCTTTCTAAACCTCTCAGGCTTTAACACTTACACTACTGCAGAACCGGGGAGGAAGAAAAATAAAATGTTATCCTTGTTTTGAAAACACATTTCTCGAATTGGCAACAAATACAGCTCTTTTGTGCACTTCCAAATCTGAGTTCCAAGAATGTCATGCTAAGGAAGGCTTTCGGCAGCACACAATTAATACTACGAGAAAAGTGCTTTTACACCCACACAAACACACACAAAAATTTTGTCCAAACATAAATGAATAAGAGACAGTGTTTAGACTTAATTAATTACATGAACTGTGTATAGTTATGAAAGAGCATTTTTAAAAAGGCAAACCTTTTTACTGCATTAGAAATCTAAGTTCCATATTGTTATAACTACTCAATATTAGTATTAATTTCTCAGATTTCAATGATTAATATTCCTACCCAAATGCTGTCTGGTTATTAAATGAAAATATTCATCAAGTCCAACCTTTGATTCTCAATATCTATATTCAGTTATTATGGCAGTCTGTACATACAATTGTTATATTACATAGCTGTTGAAGAAGAAAAATGCAAATTATTTCCTTCACAATTACAACAAGCTTTTTGTCAGACTCACTCAAACAGATATAATGCAGTGATGTTAAGGAAAACATGGCCGCATATGTATGTTAATCTACTCATCCATCTACTTATAATATACGATAATTATAGTTTATGCAGTATCCAATTTAACCAGTCTACACTTTGATTTACACATATAAATACATGATCGTAATGAGAAAGTGTACAAATTAAAATTCACATATATTGACATTTCAACGATTAAAAGTATTCAAGATGGAGAGAATATGTAGGGAAACATTAGCAAACTCTTATTTTAATTCTTAATGTCTGCATGGTTCATTTTTAGAAAACACACTAAAGTCTCTAGCTATGTCAAGTCACATTTTTAATGGACATACTCAGGATTCCTGCATTGTCCAAAAGTTACAAACAGAAAAAAATGGGATTTGGGGAAATTTACCTCAAAGTCTGGGATGTATCCTGGAAAGAGGCTGAAGTGTTAATAAAAAATCAAATGAAGCAATTACAGATATATCTGCAGTTAAAATTATGAAAAACGAAAATAGGCTGTTCAGACTTAAACATTACATAATGACTTCTCAATGACCAGGAACATAAATTGATTGGAACATAGAGGCAAAATATTCCATTCATTTGGTGGTATACAGTTTAAAGCAAAGTAATTCAGTTGTTTGAATAACAATGACACATATTAGAATACACTGTTCAGTCTGATATCATCACATCTGATTTTCTAGCAAAACATTCTAAGAAACCACTTAAATTGAAAGGAAGCAAGGATTTTACAAAATGCTCTTTCAGAAAAGCTACGCATACAAAAAAATTCAGTTATTAAAGAACTACATATAACCTTTTAAAAATTTTTCTGAAGTCTAATCAGAAATGTTACTCTAATTGTACTATATGGAGAGTCATTTTTAATATGGGTGTCAGGAGACCTGAGCTCATATCACTCACATGATGAGATAAATATATCATAAGACATTTTTCCTAGCCCTATGAGCTGCTTTGCAGAATGCCTGTGAAGTACAATATTCTACAGTAATCTGCAGATGCCATGTACTTTATAAGACACCTTTCATTCGTATACAGCAGAACAATTTTATAAAAGGCAAGCAGACTATATGTAAATAACATCACATGTGAAGTCAGCCCCCCACCCACTTCTAAATAAGCTGAAGAATTAGGAATCATTTTCTATTGCTGACACTATCTGATGAATTATTTTTTTCTTGCACACTTTTGGTGACTGGTAGCACACATACACCGCAGACAAATTGTAGCAGGTCCTAAAAAATGGAAGTAAAATTTATAGAAGAAAATATTGAACTTGAAAACTTTCTATTTATAATCTCATCCTCTCCCTCCCTCTCCTCTCCCTTTTCCACATCCCGAGGCACTGGGAAACACGAATACTATTCCATTTTAGCAGCTGTGTGTCTTGACTCAGCTTATATTATTTGTGATTGCAAATTGGGAAGAGAGGGGAAGAACTACATAGAGGGTCTCCTCTCAATTGGCAAGAATGGCAAGGGCTATGTCTGCATCAGCTCCCAGTCTGAGGAGGATGCATTTGCATGGTACCTCCTGAAATGTAGGCCCCTCACTGTGTAATCTAGGCTACGTTGTATTTTCCATATCCACTTTGCATATAATGTCGTTTGTATCTTATTGTAGATGCTTAGTCATAGTTTCATTAATAAAAAGAGAAAAGCCACAATTTCTCACCCTGTGATTCTTCCTGTGGTATTCATTTCTTTCCAGTAGGAACTTGGTTTGCTTGCTTCTGATTTCAGGCCAGTAACGTAACTCTCATTCCTACTTTCTCCCTACTATGGGGTCTTTTAAAAATTATACATGTATTTGTTTAGCATTTTATATGAAGCTCATGGTGCAAAATTCCAAATATGAAAAAAAGCAAGAAGCACGTCTCCCTCCCACTTTGACCCCCAATCCGACATTTCTGGCAGCAGCCTGTCTCCTTTAAGATGTATTCTGTGTACATTCTAGCATATCTGTGCACATATGCTTCTGTTTTATTGTACAGATATGAACGTGCCATATGCACGCACTGTTTTTGCTATTTTTCATGTAATAGCTCTGTGGTTGTTCCATAGCACATAGCAACTTGACCTCTAGTTTCTTGATCTTGGATCATTCCCCGACACTGATTAGTTCAGAAGAGGTTTGGGAAGTGCAGGGTGCCAATTTTATAATCTATGGAAACATTATTTGGGTACAGAAGATCTTGTATT
This sequence comes from Homo sapiens, assembly GCF_000001405.40. Classification (NCBI taxonomy): domain Eukaryota; kingdom Metazoa; phylum Chordata; class Mammalia; order Primates; family Hominidae; genus Homo; species Homo sapiens. The sequence continues at coordinate 85,300,500 of NC_000003.12, read as the reverse complement.
TTATATTTCAGAAACTAGTCAATTAAAAAATAAATAGCAACTGCTAAGAAGTCTTTATATTCATGAGAGCATCCAAGTAAAAACTCATAAAAATGCCTTTCATATAATATGATTTTTAAAAAAGGATATTGTAACACAAAAAATAGAAAGAACAATTTCAGAATGAAGTAAATAATTCTTACGAACAGGGTATTATGTGAAACTCACAAATGTACTTTTTTTCTCATATCCTTGCACATCTGTGAAACCTTCTTCCCAGACCTGCTCTGCTCTAGAGAAGATGATTTGGAAACCACTGGCATAGTGCCTCAGACACTCAGTTATAGCTGTAGCACAATGGAAAGTGCGTGGATAAAAATTCAAAATGCTTGGGAGCCATAAGCCCCAGTCTCTTCAATTGAAAATGCGGTTAAACAGCCATCACTCATGCCTTCCATGAGATGTAAATGAGAAAAACATGTAAAAGATAGTTGTAAATAATAACAATTTTTAGAAAAATCTTTGTTAGTAATCTAGTAATTGGTGTTGAGAATTTTTGTCATATTCCTTGAAATCTTTGTCGTACTTTGTGTCTTTCTGACGATCTGCTACAAAAGAAAAAAAATACTTTTACCTCAGGGTTTACCACAGTCTTTGCAATGCTGAGTAGAAAATGGGACTACACAGTAATGGTCTCCTATTAAATCTTTCCAAACAATCTGAGTTCCCTGCATTATAGCTCTCACATGCTTCAGAAAAGAAGAAAAATCACAAGTCAATAATATAGATAAGAGAAAAATCAGTGAATTGCTTGGCTTTGCATTGAAAGCCCTCCACAACCCACATCCCACACCCCAGACCAACCTCTGAAGTAATATGGGCTGCAAGGAGGCCAGGCAGAACAGCTTTGGAGTCCCCAGCACAAGGGGGATTCACATAAACTAGCACACTTAAGACTAAAGGTTGACATCTTCTGATCCATACGACATTTTCTATGTCTTCCTTCTGCCTTAGATCTATTTTCTTATGTCCAAAATATGATATGTGAATATTTAATATATTAACCCCACAGATTAGGAAGCTGCTTCAGAATTCCCTTCTATTTTGGAATCCTTTTTATGCAAAGAACTGACATGTCTGCATGATGCCATCTGATCCTAAAAACGATAAAAAGCCCGAAATACTTGATGATGTAATTAGAATATAATTTTTGGCCATATGCATCCCCAGTTTTACATTTATAGGTGCTTTTAATCTTATGAAAAAAACTGGGTCTATAATGTGGCATTTATATTTAGCAAATAATAGTTATTCGTTTGTAAATAAATGTAAAATTTCTGTTGTGTTAATAAAAGCTCTCAAGTTTTTTAAATGATTTTTTATTTGTTTCTTTAGACACAATAAAGCAAAAGAGATAGGAACAGATTTTTAAAAAATAATGAATCTTTAAAAATTAAAATAGTCCTCCAAAGTAATACTACAACAATACACTCAGTCTTCTAGTGGATACAATGGGAATAATCTACTCAATATGCTGAGGATAAGGGATTTATTACTCTGTTTTGGGAACATTTTAAAAACCACAGTTGATGTGCTCATGTAATACACACTATTCTGGTTCTAGATTTGAAATAGTTTACCTTAAAGATGTCCTTTCACTGGTATTTTTAGTCAATAACTCAATGACTATATGTTATCCTTCTTACTGAGTTTTTGTTTTACAATGAGCTAATTCAACAAATTAATTTCAGTATTTAAAATGTCCTAATTTTATCAAATTTTAACATTATTTTTACATAAATTTTGTCTTATAAATTGTATCATTTGAGACTATTAAGGCAGCTTATTCAACAAACATTTTCTTTGCTGCACAAATTCAGCTAAGGCCTAGGGATGAAAGGTGACAACTGGTCTTTGCTTTTAAGAAGCTCTCTCTTGAATTTCCTTTCAAATACCTTTCTCAATCCATTCCTGTTTGGAATCCCTAGTCTGTTCAGAAACCACTTTCACTAGAAATGCCAAAAAGATAAACCAGTTTACAATCACGAATCACTAAGTATACATGCATTTTCAATGAAGGGATAACACATATTTATGTGGAAATATCCTCAACTGCATCAGTGCTGCTGCAAGCAATTAGATCTCATTTCAGAGGAAGAAGGGTTCTCTGTGGGCTGGGATGGCCAATTGAAGTCTCACCTTCCTATAGGAGGCAAATCTGGTTCCATCCTTTGCTCCTTTGACAATAACTGACAGCTCTCTCTGTGTTCAAGGCAAAACCTGCTAATCTACTTGATTTGTAAGCATCAGTAGCATCAACATAGTGGCACTCAGCAATGTCAACCTGCAGCTGAAGCCTCTTCCTCTCTCTCAGGCTATTTGACTTAAACCTAAGCATATATGAGAGGAAATATATCCACAGCAAACACGGATGTAGGAGTTCATTTTTTCCCCTAACATAACCCTAAATAATATGGTAATAAACTGGAACATCATTTTGAGTAACAGTTACCCAGCAGGATAAAGCCCACCTTCATCTTTTATGAATCAGTTCATGTCTTCAGTTTTTTATTTCTTCCTTTCAAGGCATCTAACAAATATTTATTACATGATTCCTATAGTCTAGTGGTTTGTTAGGCTCTTGGGTGTATAGGAGTGTTCAGGACAAATTCCTTGCCCTTGACAAGGTTATATTCCATTTGGGAAAAATCGTTCAAAATTATGCAAATAAATAAATAAGTTTTTGTGGTGGAAATTGGTGCTAAGAACATGTCACGGATCAATATGTAGGTTTCTATGCAGAACTCAAAACTGAATCCTGAGAAAAGCAGGCTGATTGTGGGGTTAGAGGGTAGGTGTGAGATGGGGAGAAAAATGAGGAGGCCTAGGCAAAATAAAGTGAGGACAAGGCCCAAGAAAGAAAAGAGCCTAACATGTTATTAGGAGTCTGCCTTAAAGCTCAGCTGCTTGGCTGAGACCCCAGTACCCTGTCCAGTTCTTCCTGAATCCTTCCTATCTTATTACAGGCACTGTGCCCAAAACTGAAAGAGCTGCCAATAACAAAAATGTCATCCAAAGGATTCTGAGTATCACCACCATCCTGGAAACTCCTGTTGTTTTCCCCCATCTCTCTACCTCTAGCTATTTACTGCTTAGATAACCATACCAGCCCAGATGAAGCCAGAGTTCACTCTACCCTTCAAATGCTAGAGTTCAGAGCTTTGTGAATAGTATAATTATATCCAGAGAAATAGAAGTTTCTTGGTTTCTGTTTTGGTATTAGAGATGTGGTGTAAATCCTCTTTCCCATGATCTTAAGACAAATTACTTAACTTATCTGACGCTTAGCTATATCAATAAAAGTGCACATGCTAGTCTATGTTAGTCTATATTTATCATTTTAAAATCCTTATCTTAGAAAGATTATAAACAAGGTAGTGTGGAGTATACAAAGATTTATAAGATAGTGTCTCTGCCCTAAATCACTGCAGCATCCTGTGAGGGGATAAAGCACACAGAAAAATTACAAGAGACCCAACAGAATGTAATAGCACCTGGGAAAGAACCCAATAAAATATAATTAAAATCAGAGCAAAAAACATACTCTATTTTAGCTGAGAAACTAGAAATATGGGACATTGTTTTCATGCATTGGGTCTTGAAGGACAAGGTATTTGCAACTTGTATTCAAAAGATAAGGGTATACACCTCTATCTGTTTGGAAGAAATCATGTGGAATCCCAAGGCATAGGAGTAGAAAGTCGTGGTAATTTTTTAAAGAGCACTCCCTTATCCAATTTGATTAGATCTTAGAAATAAAAGGGAATAATGAGAATGAAGCTGGAAATTTAGTTTGGGAGACAATTTTATTCTGTAGGAATGAAGAATCACCGAGCTATTTAGATTAAGGAGTGAGACTCTAAGGTATCATTTATTAATATATCTGTGTTTCTGTATGTAGCAGAATTTGTAGTGGAAAAAGACTGAAGGCTTTGATATCTGGCCTAATCATCTGACTATAAAACATGTTACTATACAAGTACAGAATATCAATATAGGGACAGCAGGTCTACCATTCTTTAAAATAGAAAAAAAAAATTGTTTACTTTAGTTATGATATGAACACAACTAGATATTGGTAAGAATCTCTCTTTAGAACTCTAAAAAATATTAAATTTGAGTTATCAATTATTGCCTACAAATCATATGTAGTACATATTAATTCTTGTACTGCTTCTATTCAGAACATTACTACTGAGGTCTTAGCTGTACTTTATACCTCATGAACTCAAACTATAGATTTACTTTCTCAAAGTCATCATTTGTCTTTCTGGACAAATGTTACTGCTGCATACAGTAATAATTTGATACCACATTCCAAACATTTCAAGATTTAAAAAATATTTGACATCTTCATGTTAAATATTATAATATCAAGTATGGATATTAATCATAGTGGCTTTTATTATTTATACAAGATTTCATACTGAGCTTTAGTCACCCATTTTAAATAGAGACATCTGACAAGCTTAATAAAAATTTTTATATACTAGGTTTACTACTTTTTTTTTCTTCTTCTTTTTTTCTTTTTTTTATTATACTTTAAGTTTTAGGGTACTTGTGCACATTGTGCAGGTTAGTTACATATGTATACATGTGCCATGCTGGTGTGTTGCACCCACTAACTCGTCATCTAGCATTAGGTATATCTCCCAATGCTATCCCTCCCCTCTCCCCCAACCCCACAACAGTCCCCAGAGTGTGATATTCCCCTTCCTGTGTCCATGTGATCTAATTGTTCAATTCCCACCTGTGAGTGTTTGGTTTTTTGTTCTTGCGATAGTTTACTGAGAATGATGATTTCCAATTTCATCCATGTCCCTACAAAGGACATGAACTCATCATTTTTATGGCTGCATAGTATTCCGTGGTGTATATGTGCCACATTTTCTTAATCCAGTCTATCATTGTTGGATATTTGGGTTGGTTCCAAGTCTTTGCTATTGTGAATAATGCCGCAATAAACATACATGTGCACGTGTCTTTATAGCAGCATGATTTATAGTCCTTTGGGTATATACCCAGTAATGGGATGGCTGCGTCAAATGGTATTTCTAGTTCTAGATCCCTGAGGAATCGCCACACTGACTTTCACAATGGTTGAACTAGTTTACAGTCCCACCAACAGTGTAAAAGTGTTCCTATTTCTCCACATCCTCTCCAGCACCTGTTGTTTCCTGACTTTTTAATGATTGCCATTCTAACTGGTGTGAGATGGTATCTCATTGTGGTTTTGATTTGCATTTCTCTGATGGCCAGTGATGATGAGCATTTTTACATGTGTTTTTTGGCTGCATAAATGGCTTCTTTTGAGAAGTGTCTGTTCATGTCCTTTGCCCACTTTTTGATGGGGTTGTTTGTTTTTTTCTTCTAAATTTGTTTGAGTTCATTGTAGATTCTGGATATCAGCCCTTTGTCAGATGAGTAGGTTGTGAAAATTTTCTCCCATTTTGTAGGTTGCCTGTTCACTCTGATGGTAGTTTCTTTTGCTGTGCAGAAGCTCTTGAGTTTAATTTGATCCCATTTGTCAATTTTGGCTTTTGTTGCCATTGCTTTTGGTGTTTTAGTCATGAAGTCCTTGCCCATGCCTATGTCCTGAATGGTAATGCCTAGGTATTCTTCTAGGGTTTTTATGGTTTTAGGTCTAACGTTTAAGTCTTTAATCCAACTTGAATTGATTTTTGTATAAGGTGTAAGGAAGGGATCCAGTTTCAGCTTTCTACATATGGCTAGCCAGTTTTCCCAGCACCATTTATTAAATAGGGAATCCTTTCCCCATTGCTTGTTTTTCTCAGGTTTGTCAAAGATCAGATAGTTGTAGATATGCAGCGTTATTTCTGAGGGCTCTGTTCTGTTCCATTGATCTATATCTCTGTTTTGGTACCAGTACCATGCTGTTTTGGGTACTGTAGCCTTGTAGTATAGTTTGAAGTCAGGTAGTGTGATGCCTCCAGCTTTGTTCTTTTGGCTTAGGATTGACTTGGTGATGTGGGCTCTTTTTTGGTTCCATATGAACTTTAAAGTAGTTTTTTCCAATTCTGTGAAGAAAGGCATTGGTAGCTTGATGAGGATGGCATTGAATCTGTAAATTACCTTGGGCAGTATGGCCATTTTCACGATATTGATTCTTCCTACCTATGAGCATAGAATGTTCGTCCATTTGTTTGTATCCTCTTTTATTTCCTTGAGCAGTGCTTTGTAGTTCTCCTTGAAGAGGTCCTTTACATCCCTTGTATGTTGGATTCCTAGGTATTTTATTGTCTTTGAAGCAATTGTGAATGGGATTTCACTCATGATTTGGCTCTCTGTTTGTCTGTTGTTGGTGTATAAGAATGCTTGTGATTTTTGTACATTGATTTTGTATCCTGAGACTTTGCTGAAGTTGCTTATCAGCTTAAGAAGATGTTGGGCTGAGACAATGGGGTTTTCTAGATATACAATCATGTCGTCTGCAAACAGGGACAATTTGACTTCCTCTTTTCCTAACTGAATACCCTTCATTTCCTTTTCCTGCCTAATTGCCCTGGCCAGAACTTCCAACACTATGTTGAATAGGAGTGGTGAGGGAGGGCATCCCTGTCTTGTGCCAGTTTTCAAAGGGAATGCTTCCAGTTTTTGCCCATTCAGTATGATATTGGCTGTGGGTTTGTCATAGATAGCTCTTATTATTTTGAAATACATCCCATCAATACCTAATTTATTGAGAGTTTTTAGCATGAAGGGTTGCTGAATTTTGTCAAAGGCTTTTTCTGCATCTATTGAGATAATCATGTGGTTTTTGTCTTTGGCTCTGTTTATATGCTGGATTACATTTATTGATTTGCGTATATTGAACCAGCCTTGCATCCCAGGGATGAAGCCCACTTGATCATGGTGGATAAGCTTTTTGATGTGCTGCTGGATTCGTTTTGCCAGTATTTTATTGAGGATTTTTGCATCAATGTTCATCAAGGATATTGGTCTAAAATTCTCTTTTTTGGTTGTGTCTCTGCCTGGCTTTGGTATCAGAATGATGCTGGCCTCATAAAATGAGTTAGGGAGGATGCCCTCTTTTTCTGTTGATTGGAATAGTTTCAGAAGGAATGGTACCAGTTCCTCCTTGTACCTCTGGTAGAATTCGGCTGTGAATCCATCTGGTCCTGGACTCTTTTTGGTGGGTAAGCTATTGATTATTGCCACAATTTCAGATCCTGTTATTGGTCTATTCAGAGATTCAACTTCTTCCTGGTTTAGTCTTGGGAGAGTGTATGTGTTGAGGAATTTATCCATTTCTTCTAGATTTTCCAGTTTATTTGCGTAGAGGTGTTTGTAGTATTCTCTGATGGTAGTTTGTATTTCTGTGGGATCAGTGATGATATCCCCTTTATCATTTTTTATTATGTCTATTTGATTCTTCTCTCTTTTTTTCTCTTAGTCTTGCTAGCGGTCTATCAATTTTGTTGATCCTTTCAAAAAACCAGCTCCTGGAATCATTAATTTTTTGAAGGGCTTTTTGTGTCTCTATTTCCTTCAGTTCTGCTCTGATTTTAGTTATTTCTTGCCTTCTGCTAGCTTTTGAATGTGTTTGCTCTTGCTTTTCTAGTTCTTTTAATTGTGATGTTAGGGTGTCAGTTTTGGATCTTTCCTGCTTTCTCTTGTGGGCATTTACTGCTATAAATTTCCCTCTACACACTGCTTTTAATGCATCCCAGAGATTCTGGTATGTTGTGTCTTTGTTCTCGTTGATTTCAAAGAACATCTTTATTTCTGCCTTCATTTCGTTATGTACCCAGTAGTCATTCAGGAGCAGGTTGTTCAGTTTCCATGTAGTTGAGCGGTTTTGAGTGAGATTCTTAATCCTGAGTTCTAGTTTGATTGCACTGTGGTCTGAGAGATAGTTTGTTATAATTTCAGTTCTTTTACATTTGCTGAGGAGAGCTTTACTTCCAAGTATGTGGTCAATTTTGGAATAGGTGTGGTGTGGTGCTGAAAAAAATGTATATTCTGTTGATTTGGGGTGGAGAGTTCTGTAGATGTCTATTAGGTCTGCTTGGGGCAGAGCTGAGTTCAATTCCTGGGTATCCTTGTTGACTTTCTGTCTCGTTGATCTGTCTAATGTTGACAGTGGGGTGTTAAAGTCTCCCACTATTAATGTGTGGGAGTCTAAGTCTCTTTGTAGGTCACTCAGGACTTGCTTTATGAATCTGGGTGCTCTTGTATTGGTTGCATATATATTTAGGATAGTTAGCTCTTCTTGTTGAATTGATCCCTTTACCATTATGTAATGGCCTTCTTTGTCTCTTTTGATCTTTGTTGGTTTAAAGTCTGTTTTATCAGAGACTAGGATTGCAACCCCTGCCTTTTTTTGTTTTCCATTTGCTTGGTAGATCTTCCTCCATCCTTTTATTTTGAGCCTATGTGTGTCTCTGCACATGAGATGGGTTTCCTGAATACAGCACACTGATGGGTCTTGACTGTTTATCCAATTTGCCAGTCTATGTCTTTTAATTGGAGAATTTAGTCCATTTACATTTAAAGGTAATATTGTTATGTGTGAATTTGATCCTGTCATTATGATGTTAGCTGGTTATTTTGCTCGTTAGTTGATGCAGTTTCTTCCTAGTCTCGATGGTCTTTACATTTTGGCATGATTTTGCAGCGGCTGGTACCAGTTTTTCCTTTCCATATTTAGCACTTCCTTCAGGAGCTCTTTTAGGGCAGGCCGGGTGGTGACAAAATCTCTCAGCATTTGCTTGTCTGTAAAGTATTTTATTTCTCCTTCACTTATGAAGCTTAGTTTGCCTGGATATGAAATTCTGGGTTGAAAATTCTTTTCTTTAAGAATGTTGAATATTGGCCCCCACTCTCTTCTGGCTTGTAGGGTTTCTGCCAAGAGATCCGCTGTTAGTCTGATGGGCTTCCCTTTGAGGGTAACCCGACCTTTCTCTCTGGCTGCCCTTAACATTTTTTCCTTCATTTCAACTTCGGTGAATCTGACAATTATGTGTCTTGGAGTTGCTCTTCTCGAGGAGTATCTTTGTGGGGTTCTCTGTATTTCCTGAATCTGAACGTTGGCCTGCCTTTCTAGATTGGGGAAGTTCTCATGGATAATATCCTGCAGAGTGTTTTCCAACTTGGTTCCATTCTCCCCGTCACTTTCAGGTACACCAATCAGATGTAGATTTGGTCTTTTCTCATAGTCCCATATTTCTTGGAGGCTTTGCTCATTTCTTTTTATTCTTTTTTCTCTAAACTTCCCTTCTAGCTTCATTTCATTCATTTCATCTTCCATTGCTAATACCCTTTCTTCCAGTTGATCGCATCGGCTCCTGAGGCTTCTGCATTCTTCACGTAGTTCTCGAGCCTTGGTTTTCAGCTCCATCAGCTCCTTTAAGCACTTCTCTGTATTGGTTATTCTAATTATACATTCTTCTAAATTTTTTAAAAAGTTTTCAACTTCTTTGCCTTTGGTTTGAATGTCCTCCCATAGCTCGGAGTAATTTGATCGTCTGAAGCCTTCTTCTCTCAGCTCATCAAAGTCATTCTCCATCCAGCTTTGTTCCGTTGCTGGTGAGGAACTGCGTTCCTTTTGAGAAGGAGAGGCGCTCTGCTTTTTAGAGTTTCCAGTTTTTCTGTTCTGTTTTTTCCCCATCTTTGTGGTTTTATCTACTTTTGGTCTTTGATGATGGTGATGTACAGATGGGTTTTTGGTGTGGATGTCCCTTCTGTTTGTTAGTTTTCCTTCTAACAGACAGGACCCTCAGCTGCAGGTCTGTTGGAGTACCAGCCCATGTGAGGTGTCAGTCTGCCCCTGCTGGGGGTGCCTCCCAGTTAGGCAGCTCAGGGGTCAAGGGTCAGGGACCCACTTGAGGAGGCAGTCTGCCCCTTCTCAGATCTCCAGCTGCGTGCTGGGAGAACCACTGCTCTCTTCAAAGCTGTCAGACAGGGACATTTAAGTCTGCAGAGGTTACTGCTGTCTTTTTGTTTGTCTGTTCCCTGCCCCCAGAGATGGAGCCTACAGAGGCAAGCAGGCCTCCTTGAGCTGTGGTGGGCTCCACCCAGTTGGAGCTTCCAGGCTGCTTTGTTTACCTAAGCAAGCCTGGGCAATGGCGGGCGCCCCTCCCCCAGCCTTGCTGCGGCCTTGCAGTTTGATCTCAGACTGCTGTGCTAGCAATCAGCAAGATTCCGTGGGCGTAGGACCCTCCGAGCCAGGTGCGGGATATAATCTCGTGGTGCGCCATTTTTTAAGCCGATCGGAAAAGCGCAGTATTCGGGTGGGAGTGACCCGATTTTCCAGGTGCCTGTCACCCCTTTCTTTGACTCGGAAAGGGAACTCCCTGACCCCTTGCGCTTCCCAAGTGAAGCAATGCCTCACCCTGCTTCGGATCGCCCACGGTGCACACACCCACTGACCTGCGCCCACTGTCTGGCACTCCCTAGTGAGATGAAACCAGTACCTCAGATGGAAATGCAGAAATCACCAGTCTTCTGCTGAGCTCACGCTGGTAGCTGTAGACTGGAGCTGTTCCTATTCAGCCATCTTGGCTCCTCCATTTACTACTTCTTAGATATATAACCTTAGTTAATTTATTTAACATATCTAATATCCTGATGTTTAAGAGGCGATGATTTTAGTAACTATCTAACATAATTAAATGGATTAATACAAGTAAATTTATTTAAGCAGTCTTAGCACAAAGTGGTTGTTTAACAAATAGTGTTTGTTATTATATACTAAACACTTCTTCCTCTGAAAGGGCAATTTTTTTAATAAATTTTAAAATTTGAAAGATTGGTTTGGAGAAGGGGGAAGACAAGCCATGCCTTAGAGTGAAATTATTGCGGTTTTTCACCTGAAGTCTGTAGACACCAAACTGAAGGAAAAGTCAGCAATTAACAAATCAATTTAGACTATGTCTTCATTTAGCTTAGATTATACACACTAAAGAAGGTTCATGTTGGGGCTTGACTGGCTGTCCACATTGACAAATTAACCAGATAATCAACATTTCTTATCTTAACAGTCTATTGCAAGCATAGAGTCAAGTTCTAGACTCAAATATCATTCAGTATTTTATACCCAAAGTGCATTTGAAACAAAACATGCAATAGTTTCCCCTTTCATTAACCCATTGACATTCCTGTCTCTAACCTCACTTAAAAAAGAAATTCCATAGAGATTTGGTAGTATTAAAAGAAAATGCAGTCTATGTACTTTACCCCTCCATAATTAGTAATGTGGAGACAGAATGTTATAATTTGAATGAAAGTCAGGATATAATTGATGTCTTCCTAGCTCTGCTAGCTAAGTAGATGGGTAAATTTAAGCTTGCCACTTATGTGCATCTTTCTATTTTCAGTATAAAATGGAAGTTGAGTCTATAAGAAAGAGTCACTCACTCAGCAAGGCAAAGTTTATAGGCACACATTTTATTTTAGTGTTCTTGGTGCTTAGCAAAATGCCTGGTACATAGGAGGAAATGATAAATATTTACAAAACCAAACCTAATGTTTCCATCCATAAAAATGTACAGTGTGTATTTATCTCAAGAACTGTTCATATATCAGGAAGACTACTTTAATAGTGAATGTACTGTGTAGGAAGAATCCAAGAAATAATCAAGAAAACAATAAAGGTCAAGACTGTCAATTCATCTCTGAGAAATTAGCCATGATGGAAAAAAAGAGGGGGGGGGGGCATATTGGTAAAGCAGAATACTGGCGGAAATAAAACTGCCTCTAATTGAGGTATCTTCCAAGGAATATACACCAACACTGCAACACTCAAATTTGCATCTGAATCTTATCACTGAATTTTGCATGTGCACCTACAGATCAGGTATAGCTGAGCCAACTCCCATTTTCCTACCATGCAATTATTTGAAATATGCCTGCAATTGAATATATTACAAATTCTGCAGAGCATTATGCCTAATTTTAAAGAATAAATGAATTTAGCAATAATTATCAATATTAATATTATTATTTTAATAAGTTTAAAAGTGCTTACCTTGTCACACATTTTCTTTGCAGAATATATGTATTAAAAAAACAAAAATTATCTAACAATAATCTAACAAAAATCACCTATTTCAAATCATCCATGGAAATAATACAGGAAAATTGCATTTTAAAAGCTGACAAATAATAATGGTTGCAGATTGTCCTACAAAGCAAGATTTTATACTTCTACTCATAATTCCATATACACTTGTCATTAAGGTAACTGATCTCCATGAACTATTTCTCTCACAGTGATTTTTTCATGGTAGAATATTAAACGCATTTTAGAGGGAAGGAAACAAGTTCAGAAAGTTTATGTGCTTTCTCAAGGTCCCACAATTAGTAAGTGCCTGATCTGAGATTTTTTTTTAATTTTATTATTATTATACTTTTAAGTTTTAGGGTATATGTGCACAATGTGCAGGTTTGTTACATATGTATACATGTGCCATGTTGGTGTGCTGCACCCATTAACTTCTCATTTACATTAGGTATATCTCCTAATGCTATCCCTCCCCCCTCCCTCCACCCCACAACAGTCCCCAGTGTGTGATGTTCCCCTTCCTGTGTCCATGTGTTCTCATTGTTCAGTTTCCACCTATAAGTGAGAACATGTGGTGTTTGGTTTTTGGTCCTTGCGATAGTTTGCTGAGATTTAAAAGCTACAACTGATTGACTCTTGTGCCAGTGATAGTTTCTTCAAAAAATATAAATCTAATTTTCCTTTCAAAAGGTTAAAAAAATTAAATAGTTCCTGCAGTCATAATGTAAAATCATTAAAAGTGAAATATTTTGTTCTCAATTTCCTAATAATTAATAATGACAAATATCCAGAAACATTAAGTCCATGCATATTTGTAGTAAACAATCAGAATAATGACTTTGTTATTGTTGTTTTGATGACAAAGAGCTGATAAACAAGAAAGAATAATCTTTTTTTAGGAAATTGATTTTCACAAGGGAATGAGAAGAAATCTCATTAGTGTTCAATGATTATTATCATAATTAGCAAGCTGAAAAATTCTATTTATTTATTGAAATGCAAGTTGAGCAATATAGCATATGAAACTCAGCCATGTAAGACTGTTCAGAAAACTGAATGTAATATTTCTTTTATGATTAAAAACCAGTTTACATATATTCAAAGAAAAAAGTATTCCTTCACAAACAGTCAGTATGGCCAACTTGAAAAAAAAAAAGTATGGACATAAAGTATATTGCTCCAGTAGTTTATAGTTGGAATTTGTCAAAGGATTAGATGGGAACTAATGCAGGAATAACATCAACAGCAGATTTAATGAACTCCTTGCTGATTTGATGTTTTTGATTTCTTATTCAAGAGGTTGCCACCAATTCAATTAAAAGTAGGATTGCATTATATTTGAAGTTATTTGTTCAGTTAAATTCTATACTTCTGCTACTCCAAAGATGTAAATAATAAAAAATAAATTTTCAGAGGGGCATTCAAACTAACAATATATTTTGTGTGATGAGGCTTCTCATAATATGGATAGGTCCTTTGGGTTTTGTTCCTCAGTGTAAATTTTCAGGACATCAAATTACTGATATTGAATGATAACTAAAGTATATATTATAAAATCAGAAAACTTGTATTTGCTCTCTTTTATTATAGATTATTATAGACAATACTAAATGCCTCTAGCCTGGAACACAAAATGGAAATACATTTAATATGTACCCAAAAAATAGGATGCAATATTAAGTCTACTGATGGCAATCTATTAATTTATTTGGCTTGCATAATCAAATGATAGATTGGAATATATACTTAATGTGTGTTCTTTCTTTAAAACTACAAAGTTAAAAACAGCAATGTTTGGGTCAATTATATCTAGAATTATAATTAAGGAGGTTCCTGAGTGACTTTAGTTGAATTAGACATTCCTTCAATGGAATAGGTGACTTTGAATGTGCAGTTCCTTAAATTGCCAATTACCTAATTTAAGACATTTGGGCTGAATTCACTCAAACTCCAAATGTCACTTGCCAAATTTGAATCAAACTACTTTCTTCCCTATTGTAGTCCTGGCAATCCTGTATATGCTAGATGTTCCTAATTTCAAGCTAGCCCATCAGAATGGGCATTTCTTGATTTGGACAAAATAAAATACAGCTTTGTTAGGGAGACCCTCTCCTCTTACGAATGTTGAATTAATGTGTTTCATGAGTTTGAAATAAAATAGGAACTAAAGTTTGGATAGTCCCTGAGAGAAGTTAGAAATGCTCACACAAGCTTATATTCCTCTGCAGCTAGATCAGCTCCGGTCCCAGATCAACCTGTTAGCCCATGGTCCTTTGAGTTCTTGAAAGGGGCGAGAAGATTCAGCTGTGCCAAGATTCACTCATCCAGATTATACAAGAATGCCCATGTCTTTCAGTGTATTTGAGACTAAGAAATTTAGCAGTTTGTTTCAGCTTCAAACCTTACTTCCCTAGAGAAGCCTTCAAAGTCATTTGCGCCTTTCATTTTACCAGTGTCTAAGGTTAAGTAAAAGTACAACATTTCCATTTTCAGGCTTTGATTTTCTACTCTATGACAAATCCACATCACCCAGAAACTGAAATTCAAACTTTCTTTTATATTCATACAAGTCACTACATAGAGTTCTCCACAGTTCTCTTTAAAATATTTAATATTTAATACTTTAATATTTTAGAAATATATTAGATTAAAATATAAATACATTTAATATTGTATTATTCTTCATCTTGCATGTCCTTGTATCTTAATATGTTCATGAGAAGAAACTGATCTTCTTAGTGGTATCTGTATTATTTGCTACTTAAATTCTGTCCTTTTTGGTTTGTTGTGGTAGGAGAAAAAGACTTTATTCATATTAATTTTGCAACCATATTTTATTCTTGCACTTATTGTAACTTGCTGTTCAAACTAGAGTTATGTGAGTTAATTCCCTATTCAAAGTTAAATTGCCTGTTGTCATTTATTTCATTTATTTACAAAAAATTTGCATGTTAGTTTCTAACTCACTCCTGAATGTGATCCAGATAACTTCCTTCATCATTTAGACATATTTTAAATGCATTTTCCACTTTATTAGTCAAAACACATCTCTGTATATGCCTAGGTATTGGTTTTTGAACTACCTATCGATACTCGACACTCATTCATTGATCTCATTCAGTTAACTCTTTTGTGAATTTCATACCATATATGTGCTGAACATTGCAAAAGCTACATCTGCAGAATGAAATTTGCCTCTGAACTCCAGACTCATATATCCAATATTTCCATTTGGGTGTGGAATAGGCATCTCAAACCATCTTTGTCTGAAACTCAATCCTAATTTTCCAATTGCCAGTAAATAGCAGCTTTGTCCTTCCAACTGCCTTCTTTAATAACCACAAATCGCATCCCATCTTCGGACATCAGCAAATCCTATCTGCACTACCTTCAAAATACATCCAGAATTTTACTGCTATCCCATCAAAGTGCTATCTCCTGGTCCAAGGCACTGCCATGTTTCTCTAGAATTATTTCAGTAGGCTACCAATCGATCTGCTTGCTTTTTTTCGTTGTCTCTCCCTAATCCCTTCATGTATATTCGATGCTTGACACAACTTGCCAGATCTTTTTTACAGTACAAAATCCTCTCAGGCCTCCATTCAAAACATGACTACCCACCTCATTAAGTGTAAAAACAAGCTTATTTATATAGCCTACAAGGTCCTACAAAACCTGTGATGATCTGCCACCCACTTCTCTCACACCCTCCCTGATTCCTACCTTTTTTCCTCATATATCACTCACTTGATCACTATTGACCTCCCATGCATAGGCAGGCAGGCAGAATCCTGTCTCAAGTTATTTTCACTTGCTATTTCCTCAGCTGGGAATGTTCCTCCCTTAGCAATCTATGTAACTTATTTCATTAAAAACTTCAAGTCTTTGCTTAGATGTGACAATCTCAGTGAAGTTTTTCTTGACCATACTATTTGAAATTGAAAATTCCTCCACATCCACAACACCCCTACACTTCCATCCTGATATTTTTCTTCTTCTCCTTGTTCAGTCTTCATCCATAGCAGTCATCCATCTGACATATATGGGTGTGTTTATTATATATGTTGTGTTTATTATGTGCTTTTTTAAATAGAGTTTTTCTATATCCATGGAAATTAGGACAGTGCCTGGTGTTTAGTAAGTATTGAAGAAATAACTATTTAGTGCTGAATAAGTGAATAAATGAATGAATGATTTGCTATAATCAGAAAGATCCTCAAACTCTTAGAGCTAACTTTTCAAAGGACAACACAATTCAAATAAATTTTTAAGAAGGAAAATTTGGAACATTTTGTTAATTTTTACTTACACATTTCATTCCGTAGAGTTTAATTATCTGGCAGAGTTTTTAAAATATTCATTGCAAACAACCTTTCTTAGTCTATAAAGTTCAATTTTATTAACCTGTGGTCCTCTTGCTAAATTATTATAGTATCCACTTCTTCATGTTCATAGACTCAACACTGTGGTAAATTATTGTCCCTGCTTCAAAAGTTTGCTTTGGCACCTTTACTGACATTTTTCAACTCATTCAGAGGCTTAGATATGTCCTTCTTGAAACTCTAAGTTATAATTACAAGGCTGATGCTTTGCTTCCAAATTATACTTGGTATTCCTCAAATTCCTCACTAATCCTTGCCCTACTTCATATGACATTGGACTTGACTTCACATTCTAAATACATAATGTACATTGCAGATATTTTCTAAACATCTTTGAAGCAAAGTATACTCTATTTTGTTATAAGCTTATTTTATTCAATCATCTCACACTTAAAGAGTCATAGCACTGATGAAAACTAAAATAAAAACAAATTACAATATTTATCCAATGCATATGTTTGCATACACAAGTAATATAGCACTATAAAATACAAAGTATCAAATACAGAACACCAGCCCATTTAGTATAAAATAAATATTTTCTGCTTGTTAAATGAATCAAAGAATACAATTATTTCTTAAATTAGCTATTTTTCAGTGCACATGTATAATACATATACAATCCTTACATTTACAGAATTAAATGATGACAGCTTTGATAACTGAAATATGTTTATAGAATCTACTGTTTTAAAAGAGTATTAATGAGAATAATATTTATGGAAGAAGGGCAATATTTTAACTTTCTAAATTACTACTACCAATATTAATAAACATGATAATGTCAAAAAATAAGATAAAAGTTAGAAATAATAAGAAAAACTACATTGTAATTTCAAATTGTTAATAGAAAATGTTCTGCTTAAACCTGATATAAAAATATAAATTATAATAATTTGATGAACATATCAAAGAAAATCATTATCCAATGAATATAAAATTGAACTTGCCATACCAGTAAATATACATCTCAATATACAAATTCTAAAATCTACCAACTTTTTTTGACTTTTTTATTTATACATAAAATTTGTACATATGTATGGGTTACATGTGATATTTTGATACATGCATAGAATGTGTTATGATGAAGTCAGGGTATTTAGGAGATCCATCACTTCAAGCATTTATCATTTCTCTGTGCTGGAAACATTTCAAATCTTCTCCTCTAGGTATTTTTAAGCATACAATGTATTCTTTTTTAGTATAGTCACCCTGCTGTGTGATACTTTTTGAGGGCTTACAGAAGAACGTATATAGCCAATATCTTATATATTTTAGGTATTACAGTTCTATTGTTTTAATAAGCTAGAAATATGCAGAATGAAATAAAAACAAATATTCTCATTTTGAGGAATATTGTAAGCCAAATATATGTCTTTGCAACAGCAATATGTGAAAGGACTAAATAAAATATTCTTTACTACGGTAATTCTCTCGAAATCTATATAAGTTTCAGTTTAAAGGTAAAAATATATTTGATGCCTGGACACAGCGGATCACCCCTGTAATCACAGCACTTTGGGAGGCCGAGGCGGGTAGATTGTTTGAGGTCATGAGCTTGTGACCATCCTGGCCAACATAGTGAAACCCTGTCTCTACTGAAAAAAAAAAAAAAAAAAAAATTTGGCCAAGAGTGGCGGCTCACGCCTGTAGTCCCAGCTACTCGGGAGGCTATGACAGGAGAATCACTTGACCCAGAGAGGTGGAGGTTGCCATGAGCCGAGTTCACACTACTGTACTACAGCCTGGGCAACAGAGTGAGACTGTCCGAAAAAAAAAAAAAGGCAAAAAAAAAAAAAAGCCCCCAAACCAAACTGTTTTTGAAGTGGATATTTTGGCAGCACAGACAATAATATCTAATTTAAAAAAAAATGACAGATTTTCTTGTTGGAATGTGTCAATATTTTGTAGTAAAAATTTTATTCTAAATAAGTTAAATGATATAATTTTAATATATGTTTTATGTATAATATTTCACACATATTTCAAGCATAGGTTTGATTTTTGAAGAATATGTAGTTTAATATAAGATGGCTTATTGTTGAGTAGAATTTATTTTAAGAAACTTCTTTCTTTCCTCATGGAACTCTCAATATAATGAGATTTTATAAACACAATGACAAACCATTTAAAGTGAGAAATGAGCAAACAGGTGTACAGCTTGTGCCTAATAGGCCTTTCCTTAGTTTCACAGTCTGATAATTTTCTTTGCATACCGCCTTGACCTGATTATTCATGACTTTTTGCATAATGAGAGAAAGCTTTTAGACATGTTAGGTATGACATACAAAATCTGCAACTACTCAACCATCTTGAGAAGTCCTGTTGATTTTTCTAAGATAGATTTAGCAGTCAAATAATAATTTGATGCAACATGATTAAAATGTTGAATCTATTTAGTGAACTCTTTGAAAACACAAAACACTATAATATTTCAGCATATCATCGTATGTGTGAAACTATTCTCATACTTTTCTCATACTTGCTTAAAATGTGTTTAAACAGGCAATTAACACAATGGCACTCTTTGAAAAGTTATCTAAAATGTTTTACTCTATTAGATGTTACATTTATCCATTGTTAAAAAAATTGAAATAATATTCTACTCAAAAATATTGTAAATTGGCCTTTTAAACGTATAACCTCCAGAATAGGTTTGATCGACAGAAATGTTTATAATTAAAATAATCTGCCCAAAATTTAAAATAACATATACATTAGGATATCTTTTACATTTTTGCATGTTTCTTTTTTCAAGGATAATTCTATTAACCCTGATCTAATAATTCTATACAAACACACAATGATTTAGATAAACACTTCTCCATTATTTTGCTAATTAACTTGCAATTTATTGTTACTATTCAATGTTCTGTTCTGATGTGTGTCCACATTTCTATTTTTATATTTATCTTAAGTTACTGTGTCAAAAGATTTAAGTATTTTGTGTAGTCTTTACATACATTCCCAAATATATTCCTGAATGGTTATATTAATTTACATTTAATCCTAGATGTTGAGATTATTTAAGATCGCTTTGAATTTATTTTTTTCCTGAACTTATCTACAATAGAGTACTTTGTGTCACGTATCATTTTCTTTCTTGCAATTCTTTTTATTTTACTTCATCTTTGGCTAATGGTTTTTATATGGAGTGCATTTTCAAATTCTTTCCTTAAAGTATATCTTTGTTTCAGCACTTTTTATTTGTTGTATTTTAACTGTTTTGCTAACTAGATGATTTTATACTAAAAATTACTGTTTTTGTTTTCAACCAATAAATATCTTTATTTCTCCTATAGCATCTGCTGTTGCTAATGAAGTTCCCAAAACCAATTAGATTACTGTTCAATTTTAGTAAACTCTTCTAAAACTATCAGAAATTTTAATAAGTTTTTTTAAATAAAAAACTAGAAAGCTTTTATAAATGAATAATGGCTGGAAACTTCCCAAAACGCAGAAAAGACGTGGATAACCGGATCCAGGAAAGTCAAAGATCTCAAATAAGAAAAATCCAAAGAAATGCACATGAAGGCACATTATAGTCAAATTGTCAAAATTTAGATAAAGATAATTTTTAAAGTTGCAAGCGAAAAACAACTTGAATGTACAGGAGAATCTCAATAAGAATATCAGAAGACTTTTCAGCAGAAATTTTGCAGGTCAAAGGAGAGTAGAATGACAGATGCAAGTTATGAGAAAAAAAAAAGTTAAGGAAAAACAAACTGCCAACCAAGTACACCGTATATGACAAAACTACCCTTCAACAATGAAGGAGAAATAAAGACCTTTTCAGACAAGCGAAAGTTGAGGGAGTTCATCACAATAAAAATAGAGTGAATTTTGCCATCAATAACAAAGTACATGTGAAGGGGAGAAGTAAAAATGTACAGTTTTTGCATGTGATTAAAGTTAAGTTGTTATCAGCTTAATGTAAACTTATAATTATTGGTCTTGGCAATGATATGATACCAAAGAATAGGCAACAAAAGCAAAAAATAGATAATGTAGGCGGGACTACATTAAATTAAAAAGCTCTGCACAACAAAAGAAACAATGAGTAAAGGCCACCTACAGAATAGGAAAAAATGTTTGCAAATAATAAATCTAATAAGCAGTTGATTTCCAAAAATAAAAAATGAACTTCTAAACTTAATAGCAAAAAACTAATAACCCAATTAAAAAGTTGGCAAACTACTTGAACAAATATCTGTCCAAAGAAGACAGTTAAAACAGCTATTTTCTTTTAAAGACCAGTGATGGTAAGTATGTAGAGAAATTAGAACCCATTAACATTATTGGTGAGAATACCAAATATTGCAGACTTTTACAATATTCAGATATCTGCTTCAGTAAAATTAATTTTCTTAAAATTAAAATCTTAATATTTTAGATAACTAAAAAAATTGGTAGTCAATAAATTTAGAGACTATCACCAGTTTAATATACTTACTAAAATATCTTCTGTATAAAAAGCTAAAAACTTAAAAACATGCAGGAATAAAGAAATATTTCTGCAGGAAATATATACAATTAAATATAACAAAAATGTAAATTTTATTTCTTGAAAAGAAATATCTAAAATTTCCCATAATATAAAGCTGAATATAGACCCACTGAATCTCATTTGAAGAGTATTGTATCTTCTATCATGGTATTTTGATGATTAATAAAAGCATTTTCAAGAAATGTTTTCTTTAAACATCTTCACTTTTTAAAGACTGTTTGCATAGAGAGTCACTGATCCACTATTACAATGTACTCAAAGCAATTCATCTGTTCTGTGGAAAGGTTAACAACAGTGTAAGATTATCCATGTATTTAGGCTCTTATAACATATTTATTGAAGTGATTAGCTACAGGGACTCTGTGGCAGAGATTAATACTACAGAAAAGCACAAGCTGCATGCATGCCACTTTGCTAAAATACCATTGTTTCTTATTAATTTAAATGAAAAGGTATTTCTTACTCCTGAAACCCCAAACTAATCAGTATATGCATCTCTCTTTTATTGAAGGATTGTCTTATAATTATTTATTAATAAGCTATACAATTTTCTAAAACTTGATCCCTCTGCAAATCTGTGAACTATTTTTTAATTGTGGAAAAGTCAAAATCACAGATCAGTATGGTTTTACATTGATATGTGATACTCCATAACTAGAATTGTTAATCTGTCTAAATTAAGTCAGAAACATTCCCAAGATATAAAATGTATATCTTTTATATTTATCTATAGAGCATTTTGCAATTATGTTTAAAACATTGTGATTTTCCCTAAAACTACCAACACACACACACACACACACACACACACACACACACACACACAAGAACATCAGCAGTGAGAACATTTCATACACCGTCTCTGAAAAATTATGTACTTCAGAAGAGAGCATGCACTATCCCTATAATTTAAAAATACTTAATATGTTTATAAGGCTGCATGCATGGCAAGAGCACTCTAAAGAGAAATAAAATAATATGTGTGCCCTCAGAGCATTTATGATATATTTTGGAAGAAAAGAACGTGTAAAATCAAAAAGTTTCAACACAAGTGATAAATAATGATGTGTCAAATGAGTAGTGAGTCCTATTAGGCTTTAAAATATTAAAGAAAACACTACCAAGGTTTTGCACAGCGTCCTGAGTTGTACTTCAGAATAAAATTAGAGTTTATAACGGCTAAGAGACAAACAAAATAGCATTATATGTAACGATTATTTAAAAGAGCTGTAGAGGTGGGACTGGGAATGGGAGAATACTTCGGAAATAATGTGAGATCATATTTATTGGGAAAGAGAATTTGTGAGTGGAACTGTTGTAAAGATCAACATAAAGTAAATAATAAATTTATCTTTAGTCATTAGGTACCTACTAGTTTTTAACTTACTCTACTAAATGTACTCAGGAAAATGTAGGGCAACTGTATAATATAGGTTGTAAAAAAGCAATAAAATTAGTGAAATAAAAAAGGTATTTGTGAGACCCAGGAAAAAAAAATACACAATTTTCATGGAAATAGAAAAAAAAAGGGGAGAAACTCAAGAAATAAAAGAAAAATTAGCAAGACTGCCTTGCATGTGGTCAGAAAGCAGTCATATATGGCTATCAATATTGTAGCCTAAATGAGTCAAAAAAATAAGATTTCAGAGAAAGGGAACAAAGTTTAGATTCAGAGTTATTTGTGAAGTGGCAGGAAATGGTTCTGGGAGGCATTTATAAACTGATCTAAACTTTTTTATTCTATATTTTATCAAGAATTGTTTGCAATAGAATATAAAAGGCAAACATACTATAAATTTGATCACTTAAATAGCCAATCCTAACCACAGATAAGAGAAGTCTCACCAGAAAGTGTAATACAATTTACTGATTGCACAGTAGATTGGCTGATTTGTATTCAGTGCAATAAAAGAAATACAAGAAGTTAAAAAATTCTCATCAGATAGAACATAGCATAACAATGTTCGTGAGAGAATTTTTACTTAAAGTTTCAGGATGATGCAAAATCTGAGGTGAATTTTCCAGGTGAAAGTTGATTCATGCAAAATTTAGACTTGAGTGAGAAGTTATGATTAGAAACATGGATCTGGCTGGGTATTATATAAGTGACTCAGCCATTCAATAAATGAACCTTCTAAAGAACTTAAAAATAGAAAGCTAAAGAGCTAAAGAATGAATCTTGGGTGTGCCTCGTTTTAGGGAGAGGAAGATTGATAGCCCTGCTTCACTGTTTGTTCACTACTTGTATGGCCTTGAGCTTGTTATTTCAGCTTTTGAAGATCATTTTTCTCATTGTATAACAGGGATTCTTAGAGCTCTTCTACTATGACATTATTTGAGATAGTGCAGATAAAAGATTACTCCAGTACTTAGCAGTTAATATTTATTTTTTAAAAACATAATCATCAGTTCCTGTCTATTCCTGTCATTATCACCTCAGTTCAAGCATTATTTTATCACTGGCTAATAACAATGTTCTATCATTTTTCTTTTTCAAACTCATTTCTTCTTTGTATTAGCTTAAGATTAACAATCATAAAGCTTACTTTTAACATATAAATACCATATTAAATTTTTTTCAAAGGATTTATACATGTATTAAATGAAATTCAAAATTTTAAGTCAGATATTCACATTCCTCTAGAATATTTCCTTAACTTGCCTTTCCAGTATACTGCCCCATTATTCCCCTGTTCATACTCAACATTTCAGTCCAACTGGGCTGTCCAATATCCCTGGGCATAACAACAGCTTTTTCATGTGCATTCTTCTGTGTAATTAATGCTATTTCTTCTTCTTATAATATACTGTACACTTTGCTACTGAAAATCACCCAAGCTTTTTTTTTCATAAACCACCTTAAAACATGGCCTCTGTTCAACCTCTTAGTGTTTACTTGCATTTATATTACTTACATTTACATTAGCCTAATAGTATCGTGATTTTTAGTTCAGTTCAAAGCAGAGAACTATAAACAAACCATTATGTTTTGCTAAGTGGGAAAATCAATACTAATGAAAATTAACAAGAAGACAAATTTCTACTAAATGTGAGAAGTTACTGAGTCAAAGATAGAATTTAATTCCTTGAGAGATTAAGAATTCTGAAATAGTGAATAGCAAGGATGTAATATAAGTTATTTAATCCATGTTGTGATTGATCCAAAGGATTTTTAAAAGAATCTTGAATTTTGATTTTTTATTACGTCAAAGTACATCATTTCAGTAGCAACGACTGCTGATGACAGATACTATTATTAAGCACTATATAACATCATATGGAAATGGACAGAATGTAGTTAAGAGAAGAATTCAAGGTTAATCGAATATTGAGGTCAAAGGAATTGTGATGTGTGTGTATCTTTGTGTGTATTAATGGCTTGTTTTTGTTTTAACTTTGTAAGAGATACTAGAACAAGTGATTACATATCTTATCAGTTTATTATAAAATATTAGCACTGTTTTTGTGAGATATCATTTCATAATAAGCATCTTGATATTATTCTCTGGAAAATAGTGATCTGCTTTGACAAAGTGACAGTAACAGTAGTACATAGGTCACTGCTTGACCAAAAAAATTTAAATTCTTCAGAAATACCAATAATAGTTCTCATTTTTACATAATACTGTGGCTCACACATAATGACCCTGAGGTTCTTTATAATAAGTGCTATTTGTCAAAAAAAATGAGTGCTGTATATTTGAAATTCAAAAAGAAAAATATCTTTGAAACTATGAAATCAGGGTCAATTTTATATTTACTTATTATTTTATATATATAGTTGGTTTCAATAAAGAAAGTGAAAAGGTATTATAATCATTACCTCATCATCTAAGAAATCACTTAGCAAATACATGTATTAAAAGAGAACATTTTGTAAAATATGCAATTGTAACAATTTGAGAGCAGAAGCCAGATCAATGGAAAAAATGCATGTAACTGAATGCTTAATCAAGAAGTTCAAAGTCATGCAAGGTTTATGTATATATAAAGATTTTATATTTTTATTAAAAAGAAAAAGCCTTGGAATGATAGATAAATCATATATACATGAGTATCTACTTACCTCTATGTCTATGTATTTAGTTTTCTATCTACATAAAACATTTTGTGGAAGGTGGGGGCACTTATTTCAAAACAAATCTACAATGAATCATAAACAGCGGGATGCCCAGCATAAACATTTAGTACTAAACTGTTGATGACTTATTATTCATGCATAATATAAAAGTATTTTAGTTATTGCCTTGGGAACTCATAAAACACCATTTGGAATTTTTAAGTGTGCAAAATCCAAAAGAAAAGCATGTAATATTATCACTGATCACCAAGTTCAATAATATTGCCATTGTTAGAAAGCAATTCAGCAAGGTACTTGCTTAAGTGAGAATACTCAAGTTATTCTTCCATTTCAAAATTTTTGCTAAAGATTTTTGATAGAACATTTAAAATGGCCTTAATATACTTCCCCCCACTTCCTCTTCAGCCACATCTTCTGTTTCCTCCTCTTATTCTCATTAGATTCTATGGCTAGGCTTTTTCCTTTTCTCATTGACTTCAAGCTGTTTCTCTTCTCAAGGTCTTTACACATTCTCTTCTTTGACTCTCGTGTACACACAGCCTTACTCCCCTGCACTTTCAGTGTTGTTTACTCAGTGTCTCTACTTGAGAAAACTCCTTCTCAATTCCCCTAACCAGACTAGAAACTGCATTTTTGCAACTGTAGGGCTTTCAGTGGTTTATTTGTGTAATTACATATTTAATTCCTTTTTCAGATGCTCCATGAAACTCCACGAAGACAAGAAGGTCTGTCTTGATCACTACTGTTGTCCTACTAGCTATTTCTGTAACTATTTATTGAATGAATATGTGATAATTATATGCAAGAGGGAGAAAGATGTCCTATTCTAAAATAATGGCATTAGATAGATGATGCTTTAATGGACAACCTTGCTTCCAAAGCCCTTGGACTATCGAATGAATCAGGAGGCAACTAGCACAAGCAACCACCACCCCCTCTCCTCCCATCTTGAATCCATTCATACTTAAACATCCTTCCTCTTAATGAATGAATGGTCTGTGATTTAAATTTCAGGTTGCTGCTCTCTGCTACATATGTCCTAGATCCCTTCTCATCTCTTCTAAGACATCACTGTAGCAATTCTCTCCTCCATGTACTGTTGGACATCATCACATCTTGTCATCTCTCTTTAGTACATTTTTTCTTTATTGCCCTATTCCTACAGCTTTAGACATGCTGTCGTTTCTTATATGCGTCTCCTGAACTCACCTCACTAGCCAAATATTAATCTATTCCTGTAACTTTCTCATCAAAACTCCTCAAAAATGCTATACTAACTTTAATTCCCCTCCTCTCATTTTCTCTTTAACTTACAGCATCACTGAAATTTCTCATCAAACTCACCTGTGGCCTTCACACTGCTAAATCCTATTTGCAATTCTCAGTGTTTCTCCTATTTGATCTAGCAACAGCATTTGATCCAGTTAACCTTTCTCACTCCTTCTTGAAGTAGTTTCTGTGACAACTCATTTTTCTAGTTATTTTCCTCCCTCACTGGTTGCTCCTGCTCATTCTCCTTTGATGCTTCAATCTTATCTTCCTCTCCTGTAAACATTAGAATGTCCAAGAGCACAGACTGGACGTAACCTCTTCTTACGTCCATCTCCCTTGGGATTTCATCCAATATCATGGTTTTAATTACCACAGATGTGAAAATGACTCATAAAATGTATCTCCAAAATGTGCTTCTTTTCTGAGCTTACACCTCCAAGAGTTTATTTAACATTTCCATCTAAATGTCCAGTAGCTGTCTCAAACTTAATATGTCTAAAACCAAAATTCTAATCTTCTTTCCCAAACAATTCTACCTGCAGCTTCCTCCATCTTAACATATAACAACTTCACATGTAGGTGCTCAGATCAAAATTTGGGGGGGGTCCTCCTTCGCTTTAATATTTCGTTCTTATATTCTTGATTCAATAAATTGGCAAATCCTATTGCAGCATATTCAAAATTTATCCAGAATCTGACTACTTGTCAATGCCTCCACTGCAATTATGCTGATGCAAGCCACCACCATCTTTCCCTAAAATTGCCAGTAGTCTCACAATTCCTCTAAGTCTTTTTTAAAGATTTTACTCAACACAGCTTCCAGAGTGTTATTGTCAAAAACTAAGTCATGTTCCTCTTCTATTCAAAATCTTCCACTGCCTTCCCACCTCATCCAGAATAACCACTCAGAGGTCTGTCTGTAAGAACTTATAACATAAGCCCTCATTAAATTTTACCTTATTATTTCTTACTGATCTATCTCTTGTTCACTCACATACAACCACACTGACCTACTGTCATTTCCTTAAACATACTAAGCATGATCTTGCCACAGAGTCTGCCGCTTCTCTTTTCCCTGACTACACCTTTTTTTTTCCCCAGTATTCATGTTATTCACTCCTTTACGTTCCTCAAAATTTCATCCAAAATCACAGCCTTAGCAATGATAAGGCTCCTTCACCTCCCAATATCTTGGCACTTCAGTTACCCTTTCCTAATTGTTGTTGTTGTTCATCATAACACTTATACACTTATGAGAAAAAAAATGTGTGTATTTGTTGTTGTTGTTGTTGCTTAGTGTCTGTCTTTCCTTACTGCAATGAAAGGTGAAGCAGGGAGTTCTGACTGGTGTATCAGTGGCTTTATCACTCCTGTCTGGACAATAGTAGGAGACTGATAAGTATTTATTGACTGAATGGACGAATAAGCACAGGAGAAACTTTGGCTTATTCTGAAAGAACCTATTCTCAACTGGTGAAGTGATATAACTCAGTAATTGTAAACATAAACGTAGAAAGTAAGCCATATGACAACTGGTACTGTTTTTAGTAGTTCTGTTCTAGTGCTGAGGCACTGAAGAGACAAAATATGGCATTTGTATCTGTGCATAATTATGAATCTAAAATAAATTTAAGTTTCTGTATTTAATATCATTCTTCTATTATTTTCTCCAGTTTGAGAAAATAAGCATTTTTATAGAAAGTTGTTTGAATAGAACTGTATAAACAGGTGCCTTTTCTCTTAACAATAACCTGATTTTATCTTTTTTTCTTTTTCAGAATAAAAGAAGTAAATTTGATTTAAAATGGCATATAATAACATACTTCTTTTTCATCAAGAAAATGTGGTACAACGAATTGTATATGCTCTTAACTAGCAAGATTATTTTGTGTAGGCTTGCATTTTCATAACATATTTTTACTCCACTTTAAACATTTTCTCTTAAAATGAGGAAAGGATTTTCTTTTCCCTCTTTTTCTGAGGGTGTTTGATAAGTGGAAATAACATTCCATTTTGGCTTGGACTCTGTCATTTCCATGCCTTTCTCTGTTATTTTCTTGCCCTGTGACCTTGGATCATTAGCAGCAAACCCTTTTTTTTTTATCTATAAAATATGGACAACTGCCCAGCATTTTTCTCTGAGTAGTTTTAAGACCATATAACTTAGAACAGCAGTTCTCAAATGTTAGATGAAATAGTGTTGGCAGGTTTTGAGATATTGTTTGTTTCAGAGATATGACAGAAGAATGAAATAATAAGCTGTACAGTTTTTAGAATATTTATTGAATATAAATGGATTTTCTTTGCTATTAAGTAATCCCTATTTTCTTTTTGGGTAGTAATAAAACATCTATTATGGGATAATCAAAAGACAATGGTTCTTTTTTGACAGTTTAATTTTATTTTTGGGTTTTGTCTTAGGTGAAATACAGTTCTGAAAACCCTATGCCAATTTTACAGATTTTACTTATTTTTTTTTAATTTAAGAGATATATAAAGCTCTAAAGTCTGGGAATGACTGAGTTACTGTATGTGCTATTCAAATTTTGACACCTGGGCCTGACAAATTAGAGATAGAGGCAGGAGATATGGTTATTATTCTGGTTCTGCCATTATAAAGCATCATGACCTTAGGCAACTCACTTATGCTCCGTGTGTCTCTAATTCTGTTTCTATAACACGAAGAAAATAGGTTGGAGGATTTGGGAAACGCCTTCTGTTTCAAAACTTATGACCCAATTATACTATGTATATTGCTTTCTATGATGATGCTTCCTAATTCTAACAAATTATTGAATCAGATTTCTGTGTTCTAAAAGATATTAAGGCATTTTGATAATAAATCATTTCATAAAAATTTACTTTGTCCTTGATGAGTACAGTAAACTCATATTTATTTCTGCAAATAAATATTTCCAATAATATAAGAGCAAACATAAGATTATAGCAAAACAAACAACTCAAAAGGTTTTAACATACAGCATGATTCAAATTAGAGATTGAATTCACTCTTACATATTTTCCATTTAGGAAGCTATCTTGCTCAAGATCAACTGCTAATCGTTCATCTCTTTAGATGACATTGACTTTGATCCGGACACTGCTAGGTTCTAAAACTTCATATGGTGTTTCAGTCAGAGTGATTGTGTAACAAGAAACATGAAAGGGTAACAGCAATTAACCTTCCCCAGTTTAAAATGGAAAATTGAAAAACACAAGCAAGAAAACCTGAATCCATGCATCACACATGACAATGATTATTTCTAATAAATTGTTTCATGTTTATACTCATTGAAGAAATATGCTTCATGTAAACATTTTCATAAAATTTATATTTGGGGCAGGAGCACTTAGAAGCAGTCAATGTTTTGATATGAGATATTCTTTTTATTTTCCTTTAGCCAAATTTATAGATATGTGTGGAATGAGTGGCACATAAGTGTTCTACTTAATAGTGAGCTTTTTTATGCCCTTGGACAAACAATGGGAACCAGATATTCGAGTTCCTTCTGCTTGCTAGGTTTACATTAGGGTTGATGGGAAATCAGAAACCACTCAGGCTTTTATCTCACCACATCATGGCCAGCTTCACAGATTTGAACTGTTGATGCTAAAGTCTGAATGGAACACAGGGCAAGATAGCATGATCACATACATACTAGCCATGAAATTTAAAAGGGAACCTAATAAAATAAGGCTAGTATTCTGAACAGAATGTTTTAGGCATGATGGGTGTGACTAGGTACAAAATATGAACGCTTTATCTCTTTATGAAACACAAAATGTCTAGACTATGCTATACATCTAGAACATATGCATATATAGAGCTGGATATTTTAGTTTTTCCTCAGATGGATATGGTGACAAACCAGACCTTAGAGAATTAACTAAAATTAAGATTTTCCTTGATTCTTTATTTATCTCTGAATATTCTGGCAATTCCCTGAATATCCCATTTTATAAAGTATTTAATTATGAATTTTATTACTGAGTGCATCTATAGGACTGATTCCATTTTAAAATATTTTATCTCAGGTCAATAAATTCAGAGAGCGGTTTAGGAGTAAAATTTCTGAGGCAATTGTAAGAGGCTAATAAAATTCTGGAAGATTTTAGGCACAATAGATGATCTCAAGCTCTATGATACCTGAAAAACACCTATTTATAGATGAAGATGATGCTTCTTTTTTCCCCGGGAACCTAAGTGTCTCATGATATACCATTATTTTGCCTGTAAACGATATTGTGGGTTACAATATAATACAAAAACAATTCAGCAAATAATACATCTAGTACGATTTTGAAGCATTTCTAAAAGTGACAACAACAAAGATAAAACAAAAAACAAAAATATAAACTGAAAAGGTTTCAAAAAGAAGAAAATTAAAAATGTTCATTTTCTACTTGAGACAGATGGTTTGCATTGATTCGGCCTCAAAAGAAACAGGAAGTAAAATTGAGAATTGTTAATGCCATATGTCTTTTGATTGTCTTTCTGTCACATAGAACATAGTGATCTGAGAGACAAGTCCTGGAGTAGGAGTAGAATGATCTCTGACTCAGTACACAAGAGATAGGGAAATGTTAAACTAACTATACAAAACAAATATCTGTTTATAAAATTAACCAAGGGATCCTAATGGAAGGAACTTAGAGTTTGTGAGTCATTTTTTAAACACTATTTTCCACAGATACTCAGATTTATGTTAATACATTTATTGGAGTATTAAGTCTTCATCATTTAAGACAAATTATTGATTAATTAATTTACTTTTTGGGGTGTAATCTGTCAATATTCCTTCTGAAAATTTTTATAGTACATACTTTTCTATTTTATTTTTTCAAGTAAAAAAATAGCGAATTCTCAAGGTGCTGTTAACTTTATATCAAAGTCACAGTGTAAATGAATAACTAAAAATAATTCCGTGACATTTGGTGTTCTGTCAGATCACCTTCGTGGGGTTTAGAGTGAAATAATCAAATTATTTTTTATTATTAGAATCCTGGGCTTAATTTTTATTACAGTCTTTAAAAATGTTTCCCTAGATTTTGTGTTAATTTCATTCATTATATGGCAATATTCCTAGTATTCTCTACTTTTTAATTTCTAATCAAAGCAACAATTTATTTTATTTTAGTACATTTATTAAGGTTGAGGTCCTGCACTAGATTTTTGTTTCTGTTGTTTATTTTCTAAATGTAAAATTAGATAGCAATTTTGTTTCATTCCAAAATTTGAAGAATGATTTCTTACAAACTAGTAATAATAATGTATTTATAAACTAGAGAATACTTTTAATGTAATCAAAACTGAGAGCATTATAGAGTAATAAAAATATTTTACTTCATATCTTAATAGTTCCCCTTATAGAACATAGTTTTATTGATTTTCCTTAGTTTTAATTTTCTTCATGATGGCAAGTAATTCTGGAAACATGGTAGAGATAAATCACCAGGCTTGAAGTCATAAATCTGAATGCATTAGGCTTCTGGTTCTTCATTAGTAATATGGCATTCAGTCAATTGCTTACATTTTTTTGAATTTTAAGTGAGAGTATATATGTATGTTTGCATTACAATTTTTAAATCCTTTATAAATTTGTGATGTTCTTTGCTTAGATGGGATTTTTATAATATGCACACAAATTTATTAAAGTAGTAAAATCTTCAATTTACAAAATTGAACTGTCAAATACTAATTTGTGGACAATATATATCCTCCTGATTGTCAGGAATTATTAATAAAATTTTTAGTATTTAAACCTTTCATTTTTCAAGGAAGAGTCATCCTTTAATCAATTTAGTTTAAAAATATTAATAAATGTCACAAATATGCCACACTAGGTAAATCCTAATGAAAATCATTTTAATCCAAATATAGTTTAAATTAAATAAAATTATTTGTATTCATAGGAATGAATACAACATATCAAGTTTCTCTAAATTGCCATAAGGTTTTTGCACGTGTTTTTTTCCCCTGGCTGACACATCCTACTCTGCCATTTTTGCTTTACCTAGAAACCAGTTCATCCTAAGACATCGGTTCAATTGTCACTTCCTCAGGAATTCTTTCCCTGATATCCCAGACTAAGTCAGATCACCTTATTATACATTTTAATAAAATGCATTGGTAACATCTGTAAGTTCATATTTTTGTAAGATTATCTGAAACCTATTGCTTTTACTAGTCACACACTCCAATATATCCATGGCATTTACATAGTGCCTAATACATTGTAGGAGTTTTACATACCCTTTCAATACATGACTTTACAAATGAACGAATGTAATGAACCAAAATAAATTGCATTGATAATAAGAATTAGGACATTTAAATTATAAGATAAATGTATTCTGCCTATTTCCAAGAAAATATTTTAAACCTTTGATTCTAGATATCTAAAAATCTCAAATTGGCTATTGTTATCACTAATAAACTCTAGGGTCAGTTTTTGTTTATGTCCAATTACGAGCTCCTCAGCTTGCATCAGGCATATTATTAGTTCATTCAACTAATTTTTAACATAGTATATACCAGACATTGCTCTAAGGGCTGGAAAAACAGTAAAAAAAAATCCCTGCCATCATGGAACTTACTTTCTATTTTGTGAAAGGAAGATAATATAATAAGTAAAATAAATAAGTAAAACACATTGCATAATGGAAGATAAGAAGACCAAAACTAAATAAATATGGCAATCTTAAATATGGTGGGTTTCTGCTCTGGGAGGATGACATTTGAGTAACTATCTGAAGGATATAAGGCAGTGACATGGAGAGTTCAAAGGAGGAGATTTTATGGAAGAGAGAGGAGAAAATATTTTTTTTAAATGAGCAAGAGTGTGCCTTGCATGTTTGAAAAAACGGCAAAGAGGAGGTGAAGGCAGATCCTTAAATGCCAACTGTAACCAGACAAAACCACATTTCAGACGCTACCTACATGCAAAAGGTCTCACATTTTACTCAACATTTCTCATGGGAGTTGTACTGAGAGTGATAAGATAATTAAAAATCCTACTATGTAGAGAAATGAGTTTTTGCTTCAAATTATGGTTAATCTTTCAGCTTCACTCTAGATACAGAATTTAGAATGAAGATATACATTTGCAATTTATTCATAACATTTTGGAAAAAATAACTCATTATACCTTTCTCTAAATATGTTATTCTCATTTGGTCTTTGTCTAGGTTATAATATTAAATCCCCATGCACATTCCTTGATGAAGAAAAATTCTCTAATACATTGGAAGATTTCTCAACATAATTAGAGTACTGCTGTTGACTGCTGATGAAGAGCTGCTAGTTAGATTTTTAAATGGATGTTTTCATGCTTTAAGTTGACTAGCAATGTCAAGTCATTGATCTGATGTTGGCTTTCCCCTCTATTTGTCCTTCAAAACTAATCTAGAACTTCTACAATATTAAAGCAATAAAATTGCTGATTACCCAAAGGAATGCCATGAAAATAGATCATTAAGCACAGTTCAATGTGAAATACCTTATATCTGTTCCTATATTTCTACTTAATAAAATGATATCTATGTATTGCAAGACATATACAGAGGCAGTTAAAACCTTACCGTCTTGACTCTAGTTTCATAAAAATAATTCTTCATTATCACCTTATCATTGAGATAAATCATTTAAAAATTGAGAATAAATTAATCTGGTATTGCCCTGGTATTATGGTTTATCAGTATTGGTACACTATGATTAGTAATATGAAGCCTAATTATTATAAAAACAACCTTTTTACCTGTCAGACATCTGTCACAGTCTGAATCTATTATCTACTATAACCCATATATTTTTTGGAAATGGCTCAAAATATTTTGAACTGAATAGTCATAAAATCATTTTCTCTCCCTTATATCACATTTGAATTCATTTACTTTTATTTACAATTTAAAACAATTTCAGGTGAGAGTAGTATCTCCAAGTTTGAAGAGCTCAGTTTTGAGACTGCAAAAATCCAATGGGAAATAGCAAATATTTTTATTTATGGCATATTTATCCGCAAACTCCATTTCCTATTGTTAGAAGACTATCTCACCACCTACAGACAGGTAACAGAGCATAGCGTGATGAAGAATCGAGACATTTATGCATTCAGAAAGTCAGCTTACTATTTTTCCATTATGAGACTATTTTCTTTCAAACCTAAGGGCATAGAAAACAAGTTACTGTTTGAAAAGTTGACAACTTTGGCTCTATTAAGGTAGAAACAGCTACCTTCGAACATGTGAATGAATAATAAAGTCTCTTCAGACTTAATACTGGAGGGCAGAAAAAGGAGGTTGGAAAAACATATATTTATTATATGATACAAAGAAAGTAGTTTAGCAAAACTGAAAGCTATGAATAGGAATTACTTTTCCCATTTAAAGTTTTAAAGTGTTCTACATATTACACTATAATTTGGAATCTTCACCTTAGGCATTATATTTTGAAATGTCTCTTTAGAAAAAAATCTATAAATATTATTCATGAGTGCTACGGTTTGAATGTGTCCCCCAAAGTTCATGTGTTGGGAATTTAATCCCCAAAGCAAAAGTATTGAGAGGTGGGACTTTTAATTGGTGATTAGTTCATGAGGGCTCTGCCCTAATGCATGAATTAATGTCCATTTTGAGGGACTGGATTTGTTACTCCGGGAATGGATTTGTTATAAAAATGAGTTCAACCTCTTCTTGCTCTCTCTCTCATGCTCTCTTGTCCTTCCTCTTTCCACCATAGAATAACACAACAAGATGGCCCTTAACAGACACAGGTCCCTCAACCCTGGGCTTCTCAGCCTCTAGAACCATAAGCCAAATAAACTTTAATCTTTTATAAATTACTCTTTGTGGTATTCTGTTATAGCAGCATAAAAATACTAACACAAAAAAAAATATTCCTTGATAGTACATTCACAATTAGAGATGAAAATAGCTCAATAAGTAAAAATTAATTAAAAAATATTTTAATGTATTATTTTGAAATAAAGCAACAGATCTAAAGTTTTGTCATTATGGTTATAATATGCAAATTTAAAGTTAATGTGGATTCTGTATTTTCTTGCTATAACCTATTTAAATATTTTTCTTACAATAGGAGCCCAGCAATATCTGCCAGTGAGTACTTACCATATTCTGAATGTTGTTCTAAGAGCTTTACATATGTTATTTTATCTAATTCGTGCTGATGAATAAACTCATAGCTCAGAGAGGTTAAATAACACACCAGAAAAGTCCTTAGCAAAGTCAGGATTTATTATATTCTAGTAAGATGCTAGAAACAACTGGTATTGGCTTGAAATAGCCAGTTATTAAAATTTCAGGAATTTGGCCAACTTCTTGTCAAACATAACCATTATTTAAAATTAAATTACATTCAATGTAAAATTTAAATTATATTTAAAACAAATAATACATACTCCAACCTCATAACTTTCTAATTATTTACTATACTATACCATTACTTATGTTCCATAGTTATATATGATTATTATATCTGTTTGGTGGAAATGCTATATCTTAAGTGTGCTCTGAAGTTACACAGATCTGCTAGCACAAATTAATTGTTTCAAAATTAAGTGTAGAGAATAAATAGTCCCTAAATTGGCTGGCAACACTAACAATAATCTATGAAGAAAGTCCAAAGTAGGAGACAGAAGTCAAGCAAAAACAGTGCCAGAAACTAGGCAAGTGAAAGAATAGTCCCAAAGAAAAGGAATAAACAATTTTACTGTTGATATGATATAATTAGTATAGTATTTTTCTGATATACGATTGTCTGAAGAAGTAGCATTTTATCTATTATGTGGCATAAAACATTTGTAAAGCAATAACCTATGGAAGGAATAAAGTTAAAATGAAAACAAGTTCCTTCAACAGTCATTGCCTCATAATCAGCATGTTTCGACAAGGAACAATGATGAGCATAGGTTTGGGTGTTGATGAATACTACTCAGAACACAGGTTTGGAGCTTTGAAGATAGGTCAGCAGAATTAATAGGAAAGTCTGTGCTGAGCTTTTACAGCAAAACAAAAGAAATGCCACTTGTCATAATTTTCTTCCAACTATGGTTATAAGCAGGGAGCAAAGAAAGGTCAGGCCCATAGGTGGATATTTTCATAATGAACGATAACGGAGAACCTGAAAAATTTTCTAACTCCAATTTTCCCTCCATTTTCCCTATGAATAAAGTAGAAATAAGAAATGAGAGAGAAAAATAAAAAGTCAGAAGCATGATACCTAAGAGAAATAAGACATACTAATAAAACAAATAGGCATTTTGAGGGAATTTAAACATTCAGGACACATTCCAAATTATTTTTAAAATATAGTTGCATATTTAAACGGAAAGTCATTATTCTTGATTTTTTTGAAATCTCAGAAAAACAGAAAATGTCTCTGATGTTTTCCAAAATATTTGAGATGATGAAGTTTCCAATTTGCAAAATAGACCAGTGATAATTACAAATTAGAAGAGGTTGATATTGATGTAATTATTAGAAAAAAAATTGGAATAGATTCTTGAATATTAGTATTGTTTTAGACAACAGTAATTTACTGAAATAGTATTCAAATGTTAGTGTGGAAGAGCACTGGCACTGGAGTCATGGAGATGTGTTTTCATCCTACAATGGCACTATGTGAACTCAAAATACAATTACCTCTTTAAATCTTACTTTTCTCAACTCTAAAATAAAGATTATGGTTACCAGTTAAACAATATAACATGGATGACAAGATTAAAATAAATATTGTATGTGAAACACCTGGTATGGTACTATACGAAACATTTAGAAGGATTAGATTTTATTATTGATTTGTGTTTTATATATGTGTATGTGTGTGTGTTTCTTCTCAGAGGCATAGGTTATGGTATAGATAACTATAAAGATGAATACACAGGCTGGGTGCGGTGGCTTATGTCTGTAATTCTAGCACTTTGGGAGGCCAAGGTGGGCAGATTACTTGAGCTCAGGATTGGAGATCAGACTGGGCAACACGGTGAAACCCCATCTCTACTAAAACACAAAAAAGCTAGCCAGGCATGTCAGCGTGTGCCTGTAATCCCAGCTATTGCGGAGGCTGAAGCAGTAGAATTACTTGAACCCAGGAGGCAGAGGTTGCAGTGACCTGAGATCGCGCCACTGCACTACAGCCTGGGCGACAGAGCAAGACTCTGTCTCCAAAACAAAAAAGAAAGAAAGAAAGAAAGAAAAAGATAAATACAGAGTAATAATCATCATATTTACACATCATATTTACACATACACATACAGAGTAAATACATCATATTTACACATGACATTTTGAAAATGATTTAACATTTTTTAAATCAATGCATTTTGATTTTATCCTCACATTGTGAAAGTGTCTGTGTAGATCTTATACGTTCTATAAAAATAATAGATGCGGCAACTCAAATTTGAGGCAGTCATTTAGGAGGCAAAACTGTGTATTGGAAAGTTTCCTGGATATCAGGATGTTTCTTTCCCAGTTCTACCTTTTGCAAAACTATTATTCATGATAAGTTATTTCACTCTCTGAGTTTCAATTTCTACACTGTTGAAGTC
Source organism: Homo sapiens (assembly GCF_000001405.40). Lineage (NCBI taxonomy): Eukaryota > Metazoa > Chordata > Mammalia > Primates > Hominidae > Homo > Homo sapiens. The sequence goes on along the minus strand of NC_000003.12, from coordinate 85,262,623 downwards.
AGATAATATTGCTTAATTCAAAGAGTTTTAAGGAAGATAAATTTAGAGCCTTTATACAAAAACACTTTGTGTACTCTAAAACTATTCAAATAAAATATATCATTTATCATGGCTTTATTATGAATTTTTTCAAGAAGATATAATCAATTCAGCCTTATTAAATAAAAAACTGGACTATTATTGAATAAAGAATCCATGTCAACTTGGTTTCATCTGTCCTTGCTTTTGTCCTCTTAAGCATATTAAATCAGTGACTTCACTGATGTCAGAAAAGGCATATCATAAAGAGTCTAGACAGCTGGATGCCAAAATTGAGATTCAAAAATTTCTCTAGAAAATTATAATATGTAATATGAATAAAATTAAAATCCTGAAATTGGGTTAAAATGCCTAATGTATCATTTAAGTCAGGAGAAATTAGGCCTCACTTGAATTTATGCAGTTTTATTTCCCTGAAATTTAATATGGTTTAATATCATAGTTCTAAAAGCAAATGCATCCTTAGGCTTTATTTATATAATTGCAGACATTTTGGACATAACATTTTCAGAAGTTCCTTAAGTTACCAGCCAAAGATGTAAATGGAGAAAAGGTGAAATAAATGAAATTTCTGTCATATTTTTTAAAGATGTGGAAGTGTCTCACCTAAAGAGAATTATTGAGTGTAACATGATTATTGTCTTCAAAATCTCAAATGATGCCATAAAGGGTCAGACAAGAGTTAGGAATAAGAACGTGGAAATACAGATTTCATGATTTTCTCATTAAAGGGCATTAGATTAGGGGAAAAAGGTGACTTTGTTTTGTTTTGTTTTTAATTTAGAAATATTTGAATTGCCAAAAAAATACCTGCATGGTCCTCTGTAAGTTAAATAATTTAATGTGAACTTTAAAAACTCCCTTGAAATGGGAATTTATATACTATCTCAGGATCTTTGTAAGAATTAGTGGCTGTTAAGCAAATGAACTACTAGATTTAATATATGAACATTCGATTAACATTAACTTACTATCTTATAGAAAATAAAAATAGGATACTCACTGAAGGCCATAGAAAATATTTCATAAGAGAATAATTATTAATGAGAAATGAAAAAAGGATAGAAAATAATTAGAATAGTGATTCACAAAAGAGGTGTTACACTTAACTGAGTAGAAACTGGAAGCAATTATGATAAACACTGATCAGAGGCCAGGCGCTGTGGCTCACACCTGTAATCCTAGCACTTTGGAAGGCCAAGGCTGGTGGATCACTAGGTCAGGAGTTCAAGACCGGCCTGGCCAATATAGTGAAGCCCTGTCTCTACTAAAAATACAAAAATTAGCTGGGCCTGGTGGCAGATGCCTGTAATCCCAGCTACTCAGGAGGCTGAGGCAGGAGAATCCTTGAACCCAGGCGGCAGAGGTTGCAATGAGCCAAGATCTTGCCACTGCACTCCAGCCTGAGTGACAGAGTGAGACTCTTTCTCAAAAAATAAATAAATAAATAGAAAGAAAGAAAGAAAAATGTAAAAACATGTCTGTTGAGAAAGAAAAGCAATATGGAAATTAGGGATAATAGAAAAGGACAATGGAAAGAGAAAGCAAAAAAATAAGACACATATTTTTCTTCATCAAAAATGAAAAAAATCACAACTATTCTTTCCAGTTACTCAAACTGGAGCGCAGGAGTCACGGCTAATTGTAAGATTTCTGAGAACCGATTGCAAACTCCACTGATTAGAGATATCCTCACGGATTCATCTTAGGACCTCTGTTCCACAATCGTGGAGTCACAAGGTTTAACAAAGAATTCGTTACTAATGATAGATTAAAAACTATAATTTGTGAATAGTTTACTTTCCAAGTAATTTAGAGTTTAGAATAGCTTTAAGATGATACCCATCACTAAGCTGCTTGAGAATAAAAGGTAAACTGAAAACAGTGTAGTAGAAATTGCAAATAATCTGCGATTATTTTTACTAGGTGCAGCCCATAGCAGTGTCTTGCAAATGTGAATGTCTGTCAAAGGTGGAAAACCAACTGTGAACCACTGGCAGGCACCATGTATTTCATGGAGTACTCATGTGACAGGTGCATTTTAGACACAACACAACAGCTACAATTACTTACAAATTCAAATAAAGCCATCATCATGCCAGACATTTGTTTAGTTATGTTGAGGATCTGTCTACTTTTTTCTAGATGAAATAAATATCCTAAACACAGAGTAAACTATCAGCACTTCAAAAATTTGTCCAGACCTTTTGCAGATATTTCCAAAAGACAAAGATGGTGTCATAAAGCAATTAAACAGGATTTGGTTTGGAGATTGTTCCTTCTGTGTGTGTCAATAATCAAAATAATTATAATCACTGCCTGAATACTTAGGCTTTTGCTTTATTATTATATACAAATTAATAAGTCAAACTAAAATTACTGATCTAGTATAATCACATATATTCATGCCAAACTAATTTAAATCATTTTTTCACATTGATTGTGGAAACTACATTGTTTTGATTGCAGAGATTATTATATTCTACTGAGCAATAGAACATTATTTATTTCAGAAAAAAATATTTAAAAAATTTTAAAGCAAACAGGACTCTTGAAGAGGCAAACTAACCAGGGAAAGAGTTTCTTCTTTGTTCTAAATAGTACTCGAGTGGCTTTAAGAGTTGACTCATCTTCAAAAGATGACTAACCTTTAGATTGTGTCTGCACTAGGAAACCCTGGCACAACGATTTTGGAATGAGCCAAGTTCTCAAAACACAATTACATGTTATTATTTTTTCCATCTTATGTTAGACCCATAATCAGATTGGAAATCTATAGTCAGTGATAATGTAGCACTGAGACAATTGTCCATATCATTCAAGCCAAAGAAACACTTTGATTTGAAATTCTGTATCTAAATGATTGGGGCCAGAGTGCTCCTTTGGTTTGAGTGATTTGGATAATTGTTTCAGTTCTCCACTTCATCTTGCTAGTATAAATTGCTCAAAAGCAATGTATGAGCTACCACATTTATTCAGTGCAGTAAAAATATGTACATATTTTGTGGCATATAAAGTTTGTAAATGTTTAAAGGAAAATAAAACTGAAAACTACTGAAGGCATCATTTCCATATTTTCAATACCTCCTTTACAGAAAATAAATTACAGTATGCAGGCTCACACATGTTCACTAAATTGCATTTTAGTGTTGCTATTTATCATGAAAGTTTTCTGAAAATTAAACAATTCTTAAAGATTTGATCATCAGAAATGATTAGGAAAAAAAAAGCAATAAAAATCTTCTAAATTAAACACGATTAAAAAAATAAACTCACTTAGTGTTCGTAGTTACCAGACTAAAATATTCATAAGTTTCAGGGCCAGAAATACAGGAAGAAATATCCACCTACATCACTGTCATGCTCGGCGTTCAATGACTTGACTGTGCTTTTGTTGCCATGTACTGTGATTGCTATTTACTAAATGGTAAGCAAAGACAACTGCACTTCCCAAAGTGGATCATTGTACTTGTTTTAGTTTCCCTTTGTAAAGCCTACTTTCTGATCTCTGCCACAAGCACTAAGGCAATCAATGCTGATGAATGACTAGAAATGCTTTCTTTACGCCAGTCCTCATTGAATAGAAAGTTTCCATTATCTCATTCAACATCTTCACTCTATCAATTTGACAGGGGCAGGCAGTTCCACACTTCACTGCTTTCACTTTGGAACAGTATTCTACTTATCTATCTGTTTCCAATATGAAAGAAAAATGAAAAATAATAAAGTCTGGAGAAAACTTCTTGTTTGCACACATATATATATGCCATCTTCCATTCTTCGTTTAATTGTTGTTCCATTTTACCTGGAACATAATCATTTAAAACAAAGTGGCAGAATACAAATCAATATATGATAGAGCCCAACTTCTAAAGTGTTAGATAAAATAAATCAAGTATTACTAGTTAGAAAAAGAAAGCATTATCTTCCATACGCTTTTAGATTTTAATGGATACGGTACATTTGTTTCGTTTTCAGGGATTGGATAGCGTCTTGGCTTCCTTCTGTGGCTTTCTTCCGGCAACCTGACAGCTTAGAAACTCAACCAGCATGCAAATATTGGGACTGTGAGTTTTTTTTTTTTCCTCCTCTTTTTGTGAGTATTGTCTATCTCTATGGAGCAGAAGAGCACACTGGAAAAGGAAAGGTGTGAACTGGACTCTTTTTGGCAGCCAGTCAGTAGCAGGCTTTTCAGAAGAAAAGCCTCCAAGGTAATAAGATGTCAGGAATAAACTTTTGAGAACAAAAAATAGGGAAAACCATGAAAATTGATTGGGCATTAATTACCAGAAATTTCAATTTGCATTTTATTATCTGCCAGAGCTTTCCTTAATGCTGCAAAGACAGCCTCCTAGTATGCATGAAACACTTTCTATGCAGGGACAAGCTCCAGCCTCTAAATATCTGAGATAATCAGTGCTGCATATAATCTTGGCCACTCAGGTAGGCTGAGCTGCCTCACACAAGGGCCAGTGACCTTTGGGGAATCTGAATCCAAGCCAATAGGAAAGTGAATCTTCCCTTCTCTACCTTTTTTGCACTTGTACATTTCCACATACATTTGTGATAACTGCACCTGTGAAATAAGTATATTTTTGAAATGGGAGGAGTCACTCATATTTTAAGAAAAAGACATTATACTGATGTAACAGCTCTCCCAGGTTATGATGTGAAATATTTCATTGACTATGTTTCTAAAGTATCAGCGGTCTGTCATTTCATTTTAATTTTGGTTTGTGTCACTATGAAACTACATATTTAAATTAAATAGATTTTTAAAACTCTTGGAAATAAAAAAGAGTTATGGAAGTATGCACATGTAACAGAAATCACTTGAATTCACATCCTTGAGATATCACCAGTGAAGAAGAGACAGCCACGGGTACCATATAATTAGGCAATGGCCACAATCCTCTGGATATTAATCCTGGGCCAGCCAGGGGAACATTCTAAGTATCAATTTTCTTTTTTGACCATAAGGAAAAACAACTCAAAATTACATTTTTAGATACTGAAAATAATACTTCTCATTACCTTCAAAATTTGAAGAATAGGCAAAAGAGGGATAGATAGGCCCTACTAGAAGGAATAATTAGTGGCTACTTTTTGAGATTTATCTGTTTTCATCATAGCTATAGTACTGGCCCAGCTGGTATACTTGTGCTGTATTAATCAACACCATTCCAGGTGGGTTTTCTAGGAAGAGTAGAATATACTATATAGGTATAGTTATTAAATCACATAAAATCATTAATTTGTCTTATGGAAAATAAAACACTCAGACATTAGTATTTTGAGATGTTTTTTCACCTCACATCAGAAAAGGCATTCTGCTCCTTGGTGCTTTACATATACTTGGGGTCAGAAATAAAAACATGGTTTATTACTTTAAAATAACAGGGTGGTTAAGAGCAAGTATTGAAATAGTGCCTGAGTTCAAAACCTGGTTCTGCCAACATTTGGCTGTGAGCACATCAGCAAATTACTGGACCTCCCTATTTCTCAATTTTCTTATCATAAAATATGATTAAGTAATTACAGCTGTCACCTAGAGATGTTAGGAAAATCCAGAGTTAATATTTGTAAAATAATCAGGATAATGCCTAGCATATGATGAAACCTCTATAAATGTTGGTTAAATAAAATACATTTCAGAAAGTAATTTTCTGTTAAATCCCAACACAAATGTATCTTCATTTCTTTCTCCAAGAAGTTAAATGGCAGAAGAAAATCAAATTCAAACCACAGTAGATAAATATAACTGTTTGTACATTGTGGTAAAATAGTTCAATATCAGAAAAGCAATAAAACAACCAAAACAGTTACAGAATGGACGGTGTGCGCTAAACATGCAGTTGAGCTTTTAATATATTTATAACAGGGCTTTATAATCTAACAAACCTTGATGTTAATCAAAACTAGACTTTGTAAGTATTAAAAGAACTTGTAAATGATGAGATTTCTGAAAGAGTGAAGATAATAATTAAATAATCTCAAGTTTCACAATTTATTTGGGGGTAGAAATGTTTTATAACACTTTGTAGAAAGTCAATATCCAAAAAAATAAATTCATTTTCTATTGGTTTAGCTTCGCCCTTTGGCCTCAGAGTTGTAGCTCTTTTTGAATAGGAGCACTTAGTTTTCACAGGTGCATTTCCTCCGGCAGATTCATATGCCTCATAAATGCTTTATATAGCTCATAAATGCAGACTTTCAATCCTACAGGTACTGCTGATCTGGAAGTTTTATTTTATCTTTCAGGCTGATGAAAATGACACATCCTTGTTGGGAGATGCTACTATGAATGGCAGCAACATTGGTATAAAAAGAGGAGAGTGATCCTGATGAGAAAAGAGCCAGGAAAGGAACTGTGAAGTAGAAGTCCACAGGGAGAGAGGAAGCTGCTAACCAGGAGCTGCAGGGGTGGAGAGATTCACAGTGAGAACCCAGAGGAGTGCTGTTGCGTGAGAAAACAGAGTCAGGAAATGGGATCACGAATCAAGTGAAAAAGGAACCAGGCTGAAAACACACACTGTATATTTAGAATTCCTTATGATGATGCGTATTGATTCTCAGTACAGTCTAGGTGCTTTCACATAACAGGCTCGTGCAATTCAGGAAAAAAAAATGTTAAAAGCTGGTGGATATTTTCAAAATATCTATTACATCGAAAGCAGATTTTTCTGGAAATGTAGATATACTAATAAACACAAGTAAATGCTTATTATATATGTGGTGAAACAGAAACAACATGCATAATATTTCTCAGTATAGAGAAGTAGGATTAGAAGTAGGGAAAGGATCAAAGAAGAGACAAGATAAGGATTTGTTTTTACAGTCCAGGAAGAATTAAATCTAAATCCGGTAATGGGTGCAGGCAGTAGAGATGGGGCAAAGGATTGAGGAAGATTTTGAATATGAAATTCCATATTTAGTGCTTAATGCACACCAGAACTTTTCCAAGAGTTTTACACATATTTTTTTCACTCAGTTCTCACAAGGATCTAATAAAGTAGATACTTTAATTATCACTTTTTTTTTTACAGAAAAGGGAATGGGTTTGAAGAGCTTAAGCTAAATCATATAGCTGCAAAGTGTTAGAGCCAAGATTTTAGGGCCTTCATGTATGGCTTTGTCATTCATTCATTCCACAAGAGAAGCTGGCAATAGTTTCAGTTGGGCTGAAATCCAGCTCATGTCCACTAACTAAGCCTTGTTGCACCTGTCACTTAAACAAATGAAGCCTCTTCTTTAAATACCTTTAAGTGAAGGTATTTAAAGATATCCTTGGGCTAATGACAACCCTGTAGGCTATGGACCCAGGCAATTTGACACCAGATTCTGTATTATAAATGCCATGCTAAATACACTATATATGGGAAATAAAGGAGTGTACGGAATCAAAGATGATTCCCAAGTTTCTGTTTTAAGCAATTGGTTACATGTTAGTGCTATTTACTGTTAAAAGTGAATAGTTCAAAATTTGGCTGTGGTTATTATGCAAATGATATTTTAGAAATTGAATACATACTTGGACTATGAGTTTTAATATATTTTCATCCTATGTTTACCAAATCCCAGTAGGATATGAAAAAAATGACTTCATTCTTTGCAAACTTGCTTAATGTCCTAGAGGCTGACTCGCAGGGATAATATTAAGCATTGGCTCTGGCATCTGGGTGAGACCCGCAAACGGGAAGCACTGGAGAGAGACAGAAGGAGGGAGGAGAGGAACATCAGGGCATTTATTTTCTCAGCTGGAAACATCCCTCAACCAAAATGTAGAGCTCCTGCCATACAGCCCTTTCCACTCACCCCCAACCTTCTTGTGTTCCTCCTCTTGCCTTTTCATGAGTAAGAATGGCCAGAATGCATATTGCCACTAAATTGTTCTGCACAGTTACTCTGGTCTCATCACACCCTTCTCACATTCATGAACGAAGATTTGTGACATTTTGCAATATATATTTGGTTTTTGTCTTTGTTCTTGGCAAACTCTGAAATGAAAAAAGATTGTCGTTTGTAGGCTAATGAGATTCCTGGTGACTCAGGACTCTAGGTAGCTTCAGGATGAGAGCAGGTCACGGGAATGACCAAGGCAGGATTACAGGGTTGAAACTTTGAGCAGCCACCACTAGAACTCCATGGAGTAGAAAGGGGCTGCAGGTTGAGTTGATCACCAATGACCAATGACTTAATCAACCATGATTACACAATGAAGTCCTCATAAAACCCCAAAATGACTAGGTTTAAAGAGCTTCTGGATTGCTGAACCCATGGAGGTGCCTTTAGGGTGGTGCCCTAGACAGGGCATGGAAACTCCACACCCCTTCCCACATTCCTTTAACTATGCATCTCTTCCATCTGATTGTTCATCTGTATCCTTTGTAATATACTTTACAATAAATGGATAAATGTAAGTAAATATTACCCTGAGTACTGTGAGGTACTCTAGCAAATTAAACCCAGTGAAAGGGTTATAAGAACTCCAAGGATTATAGCTGGTCAATAAGAAGTACAGTTCACAACCTGGAACTTGCAACTGGCATCTGAAGTGGAAGGCAGTTTGGGGGCTGAGCCTTCAACCATGAGATGTGACACTATCTTCAAATAGATAATATCAGAACTGAATTCTAAGACAACCAGCTGGTGTTCCCTGGAGAATCTGATGTCAGAAATGTTCCCTTGAGTAGTGTGTAAAAATAGGAAAAAACACTTTGCTTTTCTGTGTTTCTTATCCTTAGCAAGTCTTTATTAAATTCCCCTCAAATTAAGCAATTTAATTACCCAAATTATCCAGTCTGCTTCTTGACAGGACTCTGACCCACACAGTTCCCTTATTCCTAATTTACATAAAAAATTTGGCCACATAGCTAGTAAATTCAGCTCAGCTTGAGAAGTATGTAAGGCTAAGCAAGAAAGAGAAGGATGCGACAAACTTGGAGGACATTAGAAAAAATGTTGCAGAGGAGTCTTAAAAGTTCTAGAATTTCAGCAGTTCAACAAAGAGAAAATGCATTATAGGCAGAGATCATCTTGTGCAAAAGCAGAGAAGAGTGAAAGATAAATGCAGGTTGAGGAAACTACAAATAGATCTTTGCTGCTACCTTATAGGGAATAAGGAATTGTCAAAAGTGAACTTGCAAAGATTTCCAGGGGACTAGATAATAAGAGGGAAAAAAAGAGTGATCATCAAGAAACTAAGCTATAGGATTTTACTAGAAACACAAATCTGAGTTAGTGGAATATTTAACTTGATCTACCAAAGCCTGATCATAATCACACAATAATAACTTTGATTTTAAAGATAGTTGTATGTATGCACACATTTGCATATTTTCCTCTGCAATCATGCATCTATTGTATATCTATTGATAGGGGAGAGTGCAGTTATGTATTGCTGTGCTAAGTGAAAACTAAATATTCTGCCAGTAATACCTAAGGCTCAAAAAGTTTGAATGTTAGCGTGCAAAATTTTAAATTTAGACTGACATTACTTACAGCATATTTCTTTTGGTTTCTTTTGGTTTTTTGCTTGTTTGTTTTTGCTGTGAAGACTTACTGTAATCATTAGTAGAGTTCAAACTTTTTTTATTGTATTAGGAAAAGAAATAAAACTTACTTTCTTAACATATGAGCTTGCATAAAATCATACAATTTGCAAAGTTCTGTTTTCCAAAGCTTTATAGGAATTTTACATAATGATGATGTCATTAAGTTAGGTGACAGGTTTGTTAGCAGTCAGATTCAAGGACTACTGACCACGGTTAGTGGAAAGGGCAAATGATAGAGCAGATAAGGCTGACAGTAGATGAGTTATTTACTAAAGCTATAAAATTATCTCCAGTGATAGACATGGAGAAAAATGGGCTCTGGAGTCAGACTCCTTGAGACTAAATGTTTAACTAGTTTTTTCATTGCTCCCTAACTGAAAGATGAGAATAATAATAACACTACCTCAGTGCAAATAAGGATTGAATAAAGTAATTCCCATAAAATATTAAGAGTAATCTGAAATGTAGTATGCACCATGCAGGTGTTAATGTATTTTGATTAAAGTCATTAGTGCCTTAGTTATCATACAGTAAGTTTTGAATGATTTTAATTATCACCTTTTAAAATCTCTACTTACAATTAAAACATCATGCCTGCAAACTCTAGAACATGTGACTTATCCAGTAATTAAGTACACTCTCACACCCAGCTCATTCTCACTCCTTCATCATTTTTTCTTATTGTTGCAAAATAACCTGGTGATGTCATATAATCATTTTGAGCCTTGGGGATTTTAATTATGACCTCCAAAATTCCACTTTTCCCTGAGTGTATGTCAAAGTAATTGTGCTGTTTGTTAACATAAGTAATTTGAATTGGTTCTTAGCATTTATGATAAATTATATAAATGGTATCTCTTTAGTGGATCAGAAGAACAAAAACAAAGAGATGATGAGAACCATAGTCAGAATAACATTTGCTTACTTCTCTCATTATGGACTGATTGAAACTACCCTCTTCCTGAGATCTTATGATGTTTGATGGGAAATGCTGGCCTTGTGGCAAGGGAATTGAAAATGCTAACATGGCAAATTCCAGGCTTTGTGGTGGAGATATTGACCATTATGAGAAAAGTCTATAAATTACCAAGAGATGAAAATGCCATTCATGTTGACCAGATAATCCTTCCAACTCTACATTTAGAGAATTCTTTGTTTAAAGAGCCTCTCAATGTCTTTCTCCATTTATTTTAGACTTTGAGTGCTTTCGGTATAAAAACCTGAGAAGTATTTGAAAACACAAAGTGAGTAAAAGTGCTATTATGTAAAATGTGGTTTCTCTGCCTGAGTAGAAAAATATGCCAGTGATAGGATGATCTATATACTCCCCTGTAAAGATACTGGTCAGCAACTGGTTTTGTTTTCACATTTCTACAATAAGCAATGAGCAAAAGAAAGAATGAAAATTCAGATGATACAATATCTGTAATAATCCAGAGTTTTATCTTTAAGACTCTTCAAAATTTTTTTCAATTAATTTTGTTATGGTTATATTTTCATATTCAGCTTAGGAGTTTGAGTAATCTTATATTAGTTCATGAGAAAAAACAAGTTCATGATATTAATGAAATAATTAATTGAAATCTCTTTTTTGTCTACATGGTTCCTTGTCTATGTGACACATTTAAATCAAAATTTTTATCTGTTTCTGTAACATTTTAGTCTCTGTAATTTCCTACTTGGATCTGGAGACCACAGAATATGTCATAATAATTTGGGTGGTCCACCAGTGAAAAGACAATGGCTTAAAAGAATGAAAAGTTTAGAGAAGGTAAAATTTGGACATGCTTAACAAATGAAAATTTTAAATTAACATTTTTGCTGAGAGGTAATCAGGTATAAAGTAGCAGACACTTATATTTTGTAAATTGAAAAAATGCATATTCAATAATGGTTACTGTTCTAGTAGAAAAATGGAAAAAAAACTCAATTTAAAACTTAACTGGATATTATAGATCAAAATAAATTCTTAAAGAATTAAATGCCAAAACTTCAATCTTAAAAAATTAGAAAAAAACTAGAACAAGGTGTTTTCATTTGTACCATTACACTGGAATTTCATAGTAACATTTTGGAATGAAAACAGCAACATAAGAAACTCACCATACATCACACCTTTGTAACAGAGGAAATTGTTCTCTATGTAAGCTATTTTATTTATTTGTATGAACTCAATATATTAAATAAACATCTTCCTATACAATGATTAAATGTAGAAATATTCATAAATAAGTATTATCTATGATTCCATTTGTATTTAGTATTGTATACCAAAACTATTATCCATCTGTAAAAACAGACATCTTAGATTTTGATCAATAACATCATTTTAACTTTATCATTTGTATTTAACTTACCATTTAGATACCAAAGATATGTAACTAGTAGCATGTATTAAACTTATATGTATCAATTAATTTATTTTTAGGCAGTTCCTTTTATTCACTGACTATATAAAATTTGAGTTATCTGCAAATACCTAGTATACATTTGCTCAATTTGTGTAGTTGTGTATTGTCTAATAATATTATCATTCACAGGTTTTTATATTTATTTTGATGTGTCTTTGAAGAACACCAATATTTTATTTTTTATTTATACAGAAAAAATAAAATATTTCCTTGTTTTCTTAATAAAATATTAATAGGTATTTACTGGCTGCTTATTATGTGGTGGGTTAAGTAAACCAAGTCGTATATTTTAAGTGTAAGATAGTTTTTTTGCAATTTGATACCTATATATATTAAGAGTTTCTTATAATACAAATAATTTCCATTTACTATTGACTTTTAAGGACAAGAGGCTGTTTGTACTATTGGTGGTTTATATCATGTTACTGAAAATATTTTACTCAGCAAATTGTTTAAGAATGGCTAGAACATTCCTAAATGTTAATAAAACAAAAAAAGAGGCAAATATGGTTAATTAAAATATACTACAATATGCAACAGATGTTTCAAATTTATAAACTGAAATAATGGCCTACACTATTAACAAAATACTGATGAATATAAAGTGTTCAAATATAATGAATTTATTTCATTTACCTTCTTTTATGTTATTGTCAATATGGTCATTATAGAATTCATTAGAAATTTAACAATTATCTTTCATAGAGGCCGTTTCAAGTTAACTCTCCTGCTCCACTGGTAAGTAACCTGACTGAGAATTAAATAACTCCTGAATATCAAGAATGTCTGGTTAATCCATTAATAATTTTCAATTATCTCTTTGTAAATCTCTAGAGAATAACAATTGAGATTTTTAAAAATTATACCAAATAATAAATCCAAATTGTATAGATTTTTAAAAAATTTGCAATGTGGTCTTATGGTCTTATTGCATTTTATCATTTGCAAAAGTAGACCTGAAATAAATTATTTTAGTTTTAAATGTGTCACATATTTTTCCCAATAAACAAAGGAAAGATATTCTGGTAATGTTAAATAATATTGATTTAAGATATTGTTGAGTAAATTAGTATAGACAATGTAAACATTAATTCAACCACAACTTAAAAAGTTACTGAAGCCATCACATAGTCTGTGCATTTTAAATCCCAGCAATTTTTTTTTTGTCAAGATGTTTGAAATTGGTGAGAATTGCTTTGTAAAAACATCATTTCAACTAGACAACTAGCTACTTTGAAAAAAGGACAGAGAAAAGAATAGTCTGGTTGGGACTAGTTAGTAAGTTTCTTTACATTGTTATTAATCGACTTTATTTTAAATACTTCAGATCATAGCTAACTAAAATTAGCAAGGATTGAAAAATTGGTAAAAATTCTGTACCTGGTCTAAATACAAGTCACAGTAAGAGATGTGGTTTGGGGCAGAAGACATTTGAACTAATTAAACTACAAATGAAAATATTAGGTTGCAATCAAATAGAGAAATAGTTTGGTAACAACACCTTATTTTGTCTCACAATATAGTTTAGGAAGAGATATTCAATTATATCAAGTAGTAGCAAAGATTAAATAGGCTTGACAAAAAAATTTCTTGAAGCCAAACAAGTATCCTACAGATGATAACATTTTTTGTATATTTTATTAATTCTACTGTATCTTCTGCTCAAAAATCAGATTGCTTAAATTTCATTGTTCATTTATCCAGATCAGATTTGGCCTTCACTGTGAAATAATGAACATCATGGATGAGAAAGCTGATTTACTGAGTACACCAGAATGGCATCTGATGTATTTATTGAGTCAAATGAAGCAAGTTTTTATGAAACATTTGGTTATAGACTGTAAGTAGTCTTACTCAGGCTATTCCTTCTATTATATCATTAACCTACTTTCGATTTAAATATTTTTTCACCTATCTATCACCCTTACTTATATGTTTGTGAGTATACAAACCACAACCTATCACAGTGACATGCTCATAGAAGGCAATTAATGAACATTCACGTAATAAATACCTATTTGTTAAATTAATAAATATGTATGTAGGCTGGGCGTGTTTGCTCACGCCTGTAATCCTAGCAAATTGGGAAGCCAAGGTTGGCGTATTGCCTGATCTCAGGAGTTCAAGACCAGCCGGGGTAACATGGTGAAACCCCTTCTTTAGTAAAAATACAACAAATTAGCTGGGCCTGGTGGCGTGCATCTGTAATCCCAGCTACTGGGAAGGCTGAGGCACAAGAACTGCTTGAATCCAGGAGGCAGAGTTTGCAGTGAGTGAAGATCAGGCCACTTCACTCCAGCTTGGGCGACCGAGCGAGACTCTGTCTCAAAAAAAGTTAAAAAAAAATAAATAAATAGAAATGTGAATGGCATGTAAGTTCATAAGGTATATCAGAGAAAATTCAAAAAGCAATCGTGCTGCATGCAATGCCATATTATTTTTATTTGATTCAAACATAAAGTTATAATTAATACCAAATATTTTAAATATCATTTTAAATGATACTTCAGGTTTTTTTGCTGAGAAAAATAATGTAGTTCATAAACAAGTCATAGGTGAAAATATGATGCACAATCTATCTGAGTGAGGATTTTTCAAATGCTGAAAGAAGATGATGAATTTTTGTAACATTATATGGATATGCATTTTTGGTTGAATTTAATAATTCTAATGAATAAAACCAATGATAAATTATTCATATATATTCAACAATCTTATATCTGTTTTACATAAGACACTGAACTAGCATCTCTGTTGTACCCAGTATAGTTTTATAATACATGCCTGGCAAGTATTTGTTGAATTTAAATTAATTAGGAATACATTTCCATTCATTTTCAGTTACCTATCATGACACAGGAAGAGCATAAAGTGGCTAAATCAGCATCAGCAAACATTCTAGAAACGTGACTTTGTCAAAAGCAAAGTGAAAAACGAAAACAAACATAATTCATACTATTCCAAGTCAATTCGCAGCTCCTAAATAATTAGGGAATTATATTATACAATCAGGATTACTCACCTAATTTATAATCATTTATAGAAATATATCTTTACCTGAAGTATATCATTTTGGATATTTAAATGCCTTTATGAAAAGACAAATCCTTTTGCAATATCTTATAATTCCAAATATTTGTTGAATGTAAGAACAAACTCTAAGAGTCCTAAAGTCCTCTGTAAATTATAGTGTGCTTCTCTTAGTTAAAACTCCTTAAAACAACAGTTATGCTGCTTTATCGGAAAATAGAAAAAAGATTATCTTTCATGTATCTTTTCTCATACTTTGAGCAACTAAATTCCTCATCACTAATGTTAGAGTAAATATTTTGTTTTACTCCAGTGAGATCTAGGAAAAGTTAACATAACACCACACTTACTGTATTTCAGTATTTTGTGTTAATGTGAATTACAGTGAACTTAATACAGTTTAATGTTCTACACTATGCCCTTTTCAGAGTATGATTTAAGTTAGCTGTGTTTTTAGACATGACATTTATTTTATTATATTTAGTATGATGTCAAATGCCAATTGTAACAATAAGCTCCTAATTTTTTTTATATCTTAACCATTTAATTTCATTGTCTTAGGTAATAAAAAGTCAGATCTGATTAAACAACAATATATCATATAGAGATTAAAATGTAAGTTAAATTATATAAGTAAAAATCATTACAGGTATAAAGTACTATATCCATAAAACTCCAAAGAAAATCTGTAACAATAAGAAATCTCTCACACAAACACCAACAAAATATACACAGCAAACAAATTCAAGAACTCTAAGGCAATTTAAAGTGGAAGTAATTTGGCAGAAAGTTATTTTTCCTGAGATTTTTACCCACTGATAATAAAGAATTGAACACTTGTATGTTCTTCACAGTTTATTCTAAATGATCAGTTGCCTAGCCTGTTTCACTATAACTGTGTTTTTGAAATCTATGTACTAGAAATCTGGTTAACTCCTTACAGACTCTGAATTATTAAAGAGACTATTCCTAGAATGAGACAAATTTATATTTTACAATTATCCTGGAATCTTTTTTCATATCAAATAAGAAATGCTAAATAACCCTCATTTTAACTTGTGCCATTTGGTATTAATAATTTTATTCAATATACCTCAGTACCAATGACAATAAATGAATTATTTTATTATTTATTTATTTATTTATTATACTTTAAGTTCTAGGGTACATGTGCATGACGTGCAGGTTAGTTACATATGTGTACATGTGCCATGTTGGTGTGCTGCACCCATTAACTCCTCATTTACATTAGGTATATCTCCTAATGCTTTCCCTACCCCCTTCCCCCACCCCACAACAGGCCCTGGTGTGTGATGTTCCCCTTCCTGTGTCCAAGTGTTCTCATTGTTCAATTCCCACCTATGAGTGAGAACATGCGGTGTTTGGTTTTTTGTTCTTGCGATAGTTTGCTGAGAATGATGGTTTCCAGCTTCATCTATGTACCTACAAAGGACATGAACTCATCCTTTTTTATGGCTGCATAGTAGAATAATTTTAAAAGTAACTGTTTAAAATACAAGTACACACAAACTAACCAAATTATTTACATTATCAGTCTTTGAGCTTCTAAGTTGTATACTGCAAATGTAGTGGGGGAAGTGAAGTGCAGACTTTGGAATCAGACAAATATAGTTTTTAGTTCTTTAGTTACCACTGACTAGCTAGGTGAATTTTGGTATTTGATTAACTACTATGAGCCTATGAGCCACTATTATTCCTACATAAGTTATTAACACCTGTCTTGTGTGACTCCTGGGAGGCCAAATATAAATGCAGTCAAAGCAAGCAGCACACTACTTGGCATGTGGAAGTAACTTAGGTTAATATAGCTAATGCATTTATAAAGAGTAATCTTTCTATACCATCAAATTTGAGAAGGGAAGGTAGAAATAAGAAAGAGTAAGTAAGAAGTGACTGACAGCAAGGAGTCATTTCCTTAAGTGTTGATCAAATGGTCAATTCCACAGGAGACCACCTGTGGAGGTGCACACGTATGTAAGGGTGGTGGACTGGGAGGAAAACCTCAGGTGAAATTCTCCTTTATTTTATTTATTAATTATTATTATCTTTTTTTTTTTTGAGACAGAGCCTCAATCTGTCGCCAGGCTGGAGTGCAGTGGTGCAATCTCGGCTCACTGCAAGCTTCGCCTCCCGGGTTCCCGCCATTCTCCTGCCTCAGCCTCCCAAGTAGCTGGTACTACAGGCGCCCGTCACCACACCCGGCTAATTTTTTGTATTTTTAGTAGAGACGGGGTTTCACCGTGTTAGCCAGGATGGTCTCGATCTCCTGACCTCGTGATCCGCCCGCCTCGGCCTCCCAAAGTGCTGGGATTACAGGCTAAATTCTCCTTTAGTTGACAATTTAGTCTCTCCAACTGTTACAGATTTATTGCATGTTCTTGAATCCACAGAGCACTCATCCAGACTTATGAAAATCATACTGGGGTCTTTTTTCCTTTGATGGTTCACATGGCAATTCTGTTTTTGTTGCCTGGATTCCCCTGCTTATGTACAGGATTGTCTGGTTTTCCTGGCTAGACTCCTGATTGGGAATAATCATGTTGAAATGACTATTACGTGACTTGAGAGTAATACTGTATTGCAGGTGTCATTTTAGTCTTTTGTAAAATAGATAAAATAATAGGGAAATAGCCAGTATCTTTTCTTTGTGGAAAAAAATCAAACAATTTATTATTTTCCACTATTTCCAAAATTCTAACTCTTGGTAGATTTGTAAAGAATGATCAAAGCCCAGTAATATTTCTTCTACAGATTATAGCAAATTAATACCTTGGTAGTAGGATGGTGGTGAGGGTAGGAGTGAAGGACTTATTCAACAGAAAAATATAATGGAATCAATGACCTCAGAAACCTCTTGACATCCCTGGAGTCCTATAAAGGAGTTACTTTCGGATAGCAGCCTTCAGTGGAGAGGAATTGAATTGTATCTGAAGATTTATACTTACGCTATTGCTCTAAATCACAGCTTGGAAAATGAGAAATAATGACTAATGAGAAATAACAGCTAAATTGTTATAAACATAACTAAAGGTATTTCTGCAGAAACTGTTTTTCACATTACTTTTCTATTTTGCAAGGTCAATAAAGGAAAACTGAAATAAAACTTTACGGTATTATCTAATGTTATTTAACCTGAAGTTCTCAAATACATATAAATAGAAAGATTTGCATATTTGGTTTAAACAAGTTGAGTCTGCGGATGTTCAATCAATGCTTATTTTAAAACCTTTTACTGTGCAAGGTTTTTGGCTGAGGTTTTATTCAAAAGGGCCCAAGAGAGACATTATCCTTCAGTCAAGTACACAGCCCTTGCGTGTTATTGAGTTTTTTTGCCATACTATTTGTTATGATAAACTAGAGACTGAAAAAGTGGTCAGCATGATTAGCCATGTACCCAGTATTTTCACAGATAAAATGACTTTTATACATATGTAAAATAAAATCCAAATTTAGGGTAGGCGAGTTTTTTCTTATCAACATAAAAGGCTGAGATTCCTATCTCAAGTGTAGAAAATATTCTAAAATTTCACTTCTAATCTTTGAAAATATTCAGTTGTTACAGCAGTTTTTCTATAAATCTTTGGGGGTTGGGCTACACAATAGGGGTTGAGATTTAAATCATACATTTAATAATGATTTTATATAAATATTTGCACATTAAATATTTATATAATAACAACAAAGAAGAATATTGGATCTTACATAGTAGAATAAATTATCTGAATTTTGTCCTGACAGTAACTAACCTGGGAAAAGAGGATCATGAAAAGTCCATAAAGACGACAGTGGATTTACTCCCCAAATTTTTATTCGAATAAAGCTAGAAATGTTAATTTTTTCTCCTTTATTATAGACAGCACTCTTACAGTTATGTATTCACCTTGGTTTGAGTGGACATTAGTTATGGCTGAACACTCTGGTACCCCCACTCCATCTGGACCACTTAATGAGCACTCTGCCTCTTTCAAGACCAAATGAGATAATGCATGCAAAATTACGTTGAAGAGCATAAAGTACTTCACAAATGCAAAGTATTATTACTTTCAGACAAGTAATTAGTGCTTTTAGTAATAAAGAAGTACCACTTGACAAGATTAATATATGAATGATAGTTCTTTGGAAATGACCCTATAATCAGTTGGGCACATACCTAAGTGATAAGCAGTATAACTTACATCACATTTTCTTACTTTCCTGATGAGAGTTCTAGAAATTTTATAAGAATAAAATACATCAGGGTAAAAAGATATACGATACCTACTGTTTTTCATTGAACGATACTTAGAATGCTAGAAAATATTACTCATTAACCAAAACATTCAGGAATATTTAACAACTAATTAAAATCAAATGTAAATATTGCTATTGAAATACAGTAGAAATAATATGTTCTATAAAAAAAGAAAATATAAAATGAAAACTTTCCATTTAATACAATTTACTTTCTTTTCAAATGTCTCTTTAATTACATTCTCATTTGGAATTTGTGGTGCACATCTATTCTTCTTTCTGAATAGATGCTTTCTTTTATGTGACCTCAGAACTAAAGTAATTTTAATTTTACTTATTTTATTGAAGTCAATACAACAATACATGAGTTATTTTTATCCATTTAAAATATAATTTTTGAGTAAACATTATGGTCCTGTTTTGAAAAAAGCAACAAATATCATTGATGTGTTGTAATTTTAGGCCTTTTGAACAAGAGTTGTAATTATAAATTCCACAACCAAAACAGAAAGAATAAACTAACTACATGAAATCTGGAATAATATTGAATATCAATTTACACAATTTCTTAAAATGAAAAATATGTATTTGAATTGTCAGACCTGAGATCTTGTATTATCTAATTTAAGCTCTAACGTCATAATTTCTTTAAAAAATACCAGTGTATCAATGATGGCAAGATAGTGTTAAAACCCAGACATTGATGAGGTAAAACAACAAATTAATTACATCTTCAGAGGATTAAAAAGCCAAAAGCAAGAATCCCTATTGAATTTTAATCTTTTCAAAAATTTGGTCAACATTTGAAAATTAGAATATTTGATTAAATTTCTAAAATACAAAGATATGTGATAATATATGGTCAGTAGACTTGAAGCAGTAAAAAAACATTTTCCTATAAAGGCAAAATGTAGATTTCATGATGCTCTTTTTAAATAATGGAGGCCATAATTGTCAGAATAAAGTCAAGCTTATTTACAAAGTAAGTTTATATGGTAATACTGTTTTTTTTCACCCCTTCAAAAACATGTTTTCCTCTACATTAAAAAAATACACAACAGTAACAGTAAAACTAAATGCATTAAACTTACTATTAAAATATAAAATAAGTGATATTGAATTGATTTTCCATAATGTGTTTTTATCTAGATACTCATAGAGTCTAAGTAGAAAAGTTTTATACCAGAAAAGTTCATAGTATTTCATGAGAACACTTAAAAAGTTATATATAGGCTCTTCTGATTCCCAAATCTTATATATATAAAAAAAAAAACAACAGAATCAAACCTCTGATTTCCTTAATCTTATAAGAAATAAGATGTTTTGACTAAAGGAATCATGTGGGGCATGCAACTACTCTATTAATATCAGCTGGATCACCCTTCACACGACTCTCAAAAGAGAGCCATAGAAAAGAAGACTGAATTGTGAACATTGTTCAGAAAATTTATTATATGTTAGCTCTGCATAAAATGCGTCCTCTACCTTTTCCTTAACAGAATAAAATTTTCCAGAAGTGCACAATTTTCATGAAGTAAATGACCTACCTGAAAGAGATGAGGCTATTCTTTGATTGATTCCACATTTGAAATACATATAAATTGAAATATACATATACATATGAATGAATAAATATACAAATAAAGATTTTATGATAACTTATTTCTACCAAAGAATAAATGTATCTACTAAGTTTAGTGATGTAATTAACCTAAATCATTTTACCTATTATGTTTTTTTGAACAACTGAACATTTAAACTGACTATGATTTTTTTTTCCATTCTTAAACAATAAACAGCATTTAAATGGTTGATATTATCCTAAGAATCTATCTCACAAGCCAGGGACATTTAGATTTATAATTCTGAAGTACTGAATGAAAAGTTATTTAGAAATCTAAATTATCCTGACTACTCAATTTCAAGTTTTCGTTTAAAAACACGTACCTTGTATGCAATTCCTTTCTCCCAGACTATTTCTTCTTATAAAGCCAGAACATGCTCTGAAATTAATCTCTTATCATATATTTTCTCTACAATGAATGTCCTATCATAATCTAGGCTAAAATGCTTTTCAATATTCTCTTATTTTTCAAGCACTAGACTTTTGTTCATGTTGCACAGAGGTCATACTCTTAGGTTTATGGTGCTTAATAAAATTTTATTGTTGCTTTTCTGTCAATCTCGGGAGTAGGTTAAGTCTATTACATTTATAATTAAACACATGAACACCCAGGAACTCAATCTCAAATGATAAAAGGGTCAATTCCAACACTTAGTTTTCTTTTCTATATGCTCAAAAGTCATGCTATGTCATCTATTTTGAAACCCCCAAATATTTCTTAATAAATGTTCTGATAACATTAGTGATAAATGCTTGAGGTAATGAATCTGCCAATTACCCTGATTTGATCATCATGCATTGTATGCCTGTATCAAAATATTACATCTACCCCAAAGATATGTACAACTATTACGTCTCCATAACAATTAAAAATTTAAAAAGTTAAAGAAAAAGTTAAGATGACAAAAAATTACAAAATAATAGGTGCATCTATCATCCAAGCAAATCCTTGCTCATCTTTAGGTGTCTTAGCAAATTGAGAAAAATAAACAGGATTTTGAAATAGCTTCAAATCCTTGCTTATCTTTAGGTGTCTTAGCAAACTGAGAAAATAAACAGGATTTTGAAATTGCTTAGTCTTAGAGGAAATAACGTGATACCTTGCCCCATTGATATTGCTACAACACACTTAGAGTTGGGTTCCCTATTTGAATCTATCCTCAAACCATTCATTTTGTCATGTTAATCACCTCCAAAATAGGAGCTATTAACCTAGTCTGATAATATATTATGATTGAATATGTTGTTGATGTTGGTCTAATTAAATATTTTATGAGCAATAATCATTATGACTAAAGTTGATATATGATAGCACTAACATTCATTTTCTTAAAGTAATATCTATGACCTTTAAAAATAATTTTCATAAAATAAAATAAATAGCATTATCACCAATAGATGATTTCAAGAAATAGCTCTTTTCATGCTAAAAACAATTTATCAAGGCATAAAAGCATTAGGCTACAAATGTAAACCTAGAAAAAAATACCTATTTCCCATCCATCTACTTTTATTATAACAATATAAACAAATAAAGCAACAACATAAGTTATTAAAATTTTACCTAAAATATTTATCATTAGATTACACTTGAATCTGGTAACAAAGTAAATAGCACATTTTATGAATGATACCAAACCAAAGGGAGCCAAAGAAAGACAATGAAAAATTTCTTACAAAATGGCATTTGATTATGTCAGAAATCTCATTCATTCTTACTATAAAGATACTTTCCCTGGAATATATTCTTTAAATATTATAACTTATTAATGCCATAATCAAATCTTATGGGAATTAATACTTAAATTTTTAAGTATATTTCCAGCTCATAAATTTCAGTGTGCACTGATAAACTCCATGAATACAATTAATATTTAATAAATACCTTCCTGACATTTTCAGACTAAGAACTGAATAAAATAAAATTATAAAATAATTTTTAAAGAAGTCAATTATTTAAAATATTTTCAGTATCTTTGGCCAAATCAGCATCTATTTTTAAAAAATGTCTCACAAAAGGAAACAATTTTCTTGTAATTATAAAAAACCTATTTTAATAAATTTATAAATGTTTTTCTAATATAATCTTAAGAATAGAATGATCCATGCATTTTCTCTTAATATCTCATGTGAAACATTAAGTTACATTTAAGTTTCTGCATTTGATGTAGATTTAGTATTAAATTCGTTAAAAATGAAGTCCCTCATATATCCATGTTTAAAAATCTAAATTCTAAAGGCTTTTCTTTAATCAGTAAAGCAGTTTTTACTTCTAGGTTTCAAGATAGTTTCATTGTTTACAATGTTACAGCTCTTTAGTGTTACAGCTCTTTAGTTTGAAATGTTATAACTCTTTAGTTTGAAATAACCAATATTATATCTTCATTTATGTTTTTCACACAGTCTGCCATCTAAAGTATATCCACTGGCAACAGCTCTGTCAAAAGACATCGGCATATAAGTGTGAAGCACCCTAATTTACTTATGTGCTAGTTCTAAATGGCACAATTATAATAACTAAGAATTAGAAAAAAAATTCCTCCTCCATGCTTGTGTCTAACATTGAGTAGTTTTAAATATTTGATCATGACATTGAGTGATAAAGGGCCACATCTGATTAATTTATATCTATGCATGATTCAGCATCCAGTCTGGTGTTTAAGCCAAGTCTTTTTCTTTACTTACCCACAGGACACTAATAAAAAAGCATATAACACTTCAAATCCAGGAATTCTGGCTTTAACCTTCAGTTACTCACCTAAAAGGAAAGAGAAAGAGAAGAAAGATAATGGTTAGTTTGTATCCCTTGAATAAAAAAAAAAAGTTTAATATTTCATTTTATACACAGGAGCATCTTGACCTAAAAGGGTCTTTCCCTATTGCTTTGTACTTTGATATGTATATTCGTATCACAATTCTGCAAAGTAAATTGTATTTGGGGATTTTACATAACTAAGATTTTAGGAAGGTCATTATTTCCTATGTAACTTAGTCTGTCAGTAAATAATCACTGACCTACCTGAACAAAGTATCTTAATATTCCAAGCCCATGACACTAAATATTCTATTGAATTACTTCATCAGAACAAACGTTCTAGTCAAGCATTTGTTCACTGTCATCTAAGCTGTTGATCTGGCTAGTTGACTTTTCCCTTTGGGCCCTTCCCTACACTCAAAGAGCTCAGAGGAAAGACAGATTATCCCAAGGGAAGATATATCTTTACTTTTCTAACCTCTGGGAGCTGAACCAGGAGAAGTTGCTATCCTTCAGTGGTCTGAGACCACACTGTTTGCTTTCCAGATTATTTTCTATACAATTGCTTTTCCTTCCCGTAAACAGAATGATGTCAATGATTTGGAGTGAAAAATAGAAAAGTTGACATAAGAAGTGAAAAATAAGCTACAGAAATTATTAGTTTAATATGTACTCATTAAAAATGGTATACCATTCCTTTATAGAATGTAAATATGGCACACTGATACGTTCTTAAAGAGAATTCCAGGATTTCCTCTCCTTTAGAAATTAAAACAATATAAAAGTAAAATATTTAATTGCAAATTAAAATTTACAGCTTTTAAAGAAAAATAGCCATAGTTCTTCAACATGATGTACCAAGCCAGATGAAAAGATTTTTAAAGCACTGATGCTGTACATTCTCAATATCAAGTAGGTGTTATTCATACTACCAAGTAAGTGTTATTGTTATTATTTCTATATTTTAATTAAAAACTAAACAACAATAGTAGCAAATCATGGGGCTGATATTAGAAACCAAGATACTTTCCAAAAAATATATGATCAAATAAAAACATTGAAATTCAATTTTAAGAGAAAAAATGGCAATTAATTATATAACATTACTTACTTTCCAAATAACTACATTGATAATTAAATATCAGGATTTTCAAGAACTACCAACATGTATCTTGAACTAGTAATGTAAAAATCACTGCATATTAAAGTATAAAACTTGATGCCTTGATACTTGAAGACAACTTTATATTTTAAGAAGCACAATCTTTAGAGTAACCATATAAAAAGAAAATATGAAGAATTAAGATGATATGTAATTATTCTATGAATTTTTGTACTATCCATACAACATAATTCAGTGTTTGCTTTTGTATTATATTAAAATCAATTTAAATTTATATTTATGTATTTATATATTCTAAGTAATATGTTAGTTATATAATTATAAAAAACTTATCAAGTTTTTGGAAATAATATTTTTCATTATATATAGAATGAAAAGTTGTCATCACTGTGAGACAACAGAGACAAACATCGCCATATCTTTACCTGTAAAATTAGGATTATTCTCCATGATTAAATTAGGTATTTTTTTTTTGAGGTGAGTTGTAACACACAAGATACTGAAACAGCATATTATCTGAATACATGCCTCTGACACATCTAGGTAATTTTGAACCTAATAGATATTTATAATTATGACTAAAAGTTAATCTCATGCTTCCAACAATCCTTCATTTCCCTTATTCTGTCCCTCCTATTATCTGTCTCATTGAGTAGTTAATGCTTTAACTCTGAAGTTTGGCTGGCCTAACTTTGAAAACTAATCGCTTGCCTTTGGTATATGTGTGGCCTTGAGCAAATTACTTAATAGATCAAAGCCTCAATTGCCTTATATTCAATGTGGTCATAAAAGCCCTTATTTAAATATGGTTTAATAAATATCCACAATTATTGTTATTCATTCAACAAACTTTGCTGAGAGCCTTGTTGAGATTCAGATTCTAAGCTAGTATCTGGAGGTGCACAGAGTCTGGTATACAGTTTTAATCACTGAGTCATAGCAGAAGTTCACCTCCTAAGACAAGAAATTGTCTGTCCTTTCTGTTACTACAGCCCTTCCTGCTAAGCATTTCTCTCTAGTTGAGGTCACCCTTCCATTTATACGAGCCCTATCAATGACTTTTCTCATACAGAATCCATTAATACTTTGAAATCCATTAATACGTATGTGAAGAAGGAGCCAATGATGGTTGGTAGAGAAGGCCCAATGGTAGCATAGCTTGTTATGTATACAAATATTTCATTCACATGTCACCAAATCATGTGAACTATATAAAAATGATTTCCTTAAAAAATATTTAAATCACATCATTATCTTTCATCACAAAAGTTAATAAGTATTCTTAAATGGCAAATAACTATATCTAATTACATCCTTTGCAATTAATTTTGAGTCTTCCTATTCTTTAAAAATAAACCATTAAAAATATGCAATTGAAATCATATCAAGTATAACTTTGACACCAAATTAACTCTCTAGCAAAGAAGGTTTATCTCAATTATTACTCTCATTTTGTATTGCTAGTTATGGCTAGAATTGACGTCTTAATCCTTCTTCCAATTACAATCCAAGAGATGCTATTACACAAAAATGATAAAGATTAATAATCCAATTTTATGCATATAATTCTACATATATACATGTTCATATATATATGTATATATGAACACCTGAGGGAAGGAAGTTTTCTATCCTTTGTGGAAAGGACTAGCAAGAGAATTAGAAGGGAGCTAGTGCACGGATGGATGTTTTGCTGGGGCAACCGTGAGAAGTACTTTTTTGGCCTGTCCAACAGTGTCCTGAGAATAACATCATCCATCCAGGAAAAAATTGTGAGGCGGCATAACAGAACCTTTCCTAGGCCAGCCAGGGCTCCACTGGTTAATAAAAGGGTAGCAACACAGTCTGATGTAGTTACAGAGCTGATAACAACAGATACAGACCATATACCCTAATAATCTACAGGATGCTTCAACAAAATATACAGCGTAAAATAAGAGCTTTAGTGTGGTTACCTACAGGATTGACTTTTAAAAATCCATTATACTATTTTTCACCATTAATTACAAACCACATAGTTTAACTGAAAACATAAAGAAAGCATTACAGAGGTAAAAAAGCAAAATTAAAGAAGAAAAGACAAATCTATAAGAGGACATAAAAATAACCTTAGAGATAGATCTTATCATAAATGGGAGACGACACTTCAAAATACTATATACTTGTAATGAAATTTCAATTAAAGTTTTAAGACAAAGTTTGAGAAAGTTAATGAGATTATGATAAAATCTAGATTAACAAAACAATGTCTATACATATCTTTGTAAATTATAAAATTAAGATAAAATCAAATACAGTGCATTTAATAGCATTTCAATTTTATGTTTTATAATTTGTAACTCTACCAATTAATTCTTGCATCAAAATACAGCATGAACATTTATAATCAATTCTAAGAGGATGTGAAGTGAATGTTTATACTAATATATATTCCATTCCGATATAATTCATAAGTAATAAGTATTTAGGTTTGCAGTACAAATTTATTTATCACTCAAAAACTCCAAGGCATAGAGGTCCCAGGAAGTCAAATGTTACTCAAACTTCAATAAGGTTAGGCAGTATCAAAGGCAATATAGCAAATAATTGTGATCAAGAGATATTCAGTGTTATTACAGTGAAAATGTCACAAAAAACCATCTACATGAAATATTCTATAAGGTTTTATCTCAAATAAATCCAAAAAATTTTTTTCCGTTTAGAGATTTGGCTGTCATCTCCCTTAACAGATTGTAGATTAAGGAGGATGACAGAGGAAGAGTCAGAGAACAAAAGTCAGGGGTGAGAGAGACAGAGAGAGAAAGAGAGAGAGAGAGGTCACTAATAATGCAAACCAGAGGACTGAGGTTTGAGACACAAAATGCCAACATGACCACCACACCCAGTGTTCAGCACACATACAAAGAGCTCTGTTAGTTCATAGCAGCTTTTGTGTTAATGTATTATGTTCTACTCTTATGTTTTATACATTTGTTTATACAGAAGACCTCACTCTCCATCCATGGAGTTAACAGGGTGTTAACATGTTTGTGAATATGTTTGCAATTGCAAAAAACTACTACTACTCTGGAGAGTACTACTACTCTGGAGAGAGAAATTACTACTCTGGAGAAAAGTTCTACATTGTATAATAAAACTGTAGATAATATGAATCATCATCACTGACCAGTATTTACCACGTGTCTATTTTTCGCACTTAAGGATATTTACAACATATGGAGAAGATTTGATTCTTGATATACAGCAGTTGGCAATTCTCAAGGCAGAAGACTACATATTTATACATACATAAAAATGATAGTTTTATATTTTACAGTTTCATGGTTTACAAGATGTTTAACCTATATGTTACTTCACCTAATTCTCACAAGCCGTTAGTGAAATGGAGATGATAGTTATTCCCTTTTTACAGCTGAGGAAATTGAGATTTAGAGAGATTAGGAGGTTTGTTTAGGCAGATACAGAAATTCAAAGTAAGGTACTAACTTCAAATTCTATAAAATCTATACTATATTATGCTGTTTAATTAATATTTCCATTTATATACATTTTACCTCAATATTATAAACGTTTAAGTGTTTTAATTGGGGACAAAAATAAGTTGAAATGGTAGCTGGTGGAAGGTAGCATGATATAGTGGTTAAATATCAAGTAAAGAGGATCTATAATCAAAGTTCAAGTCCTTGCTTCACAATTTACCATCTATGGAACCTTGGGAAATTTACTAATTTCTGTATAACTCAGGTAACCTATCTGCAAAACAGGGAAAATAATAGTACCTAATCAAGTGACATATTTTGAGAATTAACTGAGATAATCCATGTAGAACTTCAGAAGAGTGCTTGACATAAATAAGTGCTTAATAAATGTTAGCTAAGCTAGCTAATATTGGTTTGATAAGAATGGAAATAATTCATACTATATTTGTAGAATTAAATATGCATTTTGTGGATAAAGATTTTTACTATGAATCAATACTTTGAACTATTTTTTTAATCTAAAGACTACTCATATACTCTAATTTGGCTAACAATGTATTTTGTGAAACAAGTCAGGATTAACATTATAATCTGCAATATTTTTCACAAAGAATCTTTCTAAACCATTGAGAATTTAAACCATTATAAACAAAAGAAAAATAAATCGTTCTGCTGCTTATCAATTTCAATAAAATTGATTAAATCTCATCTACGCTGTCTAATATACATAAAGCCATGAAAATATTTCATCATTGGTTATAAAAGTGAGTCTAAATCAAGTTACTTTTGCTAACTATTTTAATATATTTTACTTTTTTAGAATAGCTTTAAGTTTTCTGCAAACTGACCCAGAAAGTAGAGATGTTTCATATAATCCACCTCCCCTCACATAGTTTCCCTTATTAACATTTTGCATTAGTGTGGCACATGAGTTACGATGGATGAGTCAATGTTGGTACAATATTATTAGTTAAGGTCCATGGTTACCTTAGGGTTGACTGTATTATAAAGGCCTATGGGTTCTGACAAATGCATAATATCACCATCATTTTGGTGTTACACAGAATAATTTCACTGACCTAAAACCACCCTGTACGCCACCTATTTATCCCTCCCTCCTTCCCACTGAACCTCTGGCAACTACTGATCTTTCACCGTCTCAGTAGTATTGCCTTTTCCAAAATGCCATAAAGTTACAATCACACAGAAATTTGCTTCTTTAGACTGGTTTCTTTCATACAGTTATATGCAGTTAAGGTTTTCCCATGTCTTTATTTGGCTTCATAGCTAATTTCCTCTTATAAATAAGTAATATTCCACTATATGAATTACCTCATTTGCTTATACATTCAACTATTGAGGTATTTGTTTCTTCCCATTTTTGGCAATTATGAATAAAGTTACTATAAATATTAGCATGTAGGTTTTTGTATGGACATAAATTTTCAACTCTTCTAAGTAAATATCTGCATGTGTGGTCATCCAATTATATACTAAACCTATGTTTAGATTTGTAAGACACAATCAAACTGTCTTACAAAGTGACTATACCATTTTGCACTCTTAACATCCATGAATGAGAGTCAGTATTGCTCCACATCTTTGTTAGCCTTTAGCCATTCTGAGAAGTGTGTAGGAGTGTCTCATTGCTGTTTCAATTTGCAATTCCCTAATAATATAGGGTGTTTTTTTTCACATGTTTATTCGCCATCAGTAAAGCTTTTTTGGTGAGATATCTATTCATATCTTTTGCACATTTTTAATTGGGTTGTTTGTCTTCTTATTGTTACATTTGAAGTGTTCTTTTTATATTTCATACTCTCATACAAGTCCACTGTGATATAGGTGCTCTGAAAATATTTTCTCAGTCTGTGGCTTGTCTTTTCTTTGTATTTTTAAGTAAAAGTTTACAAAGGAGTACAAAAAGAAGATCTGATTAGCCAGGAACAAATAAGAACTCAGAGAAAACTTTTTTAAAGAGGTATGTATATTTGTATGAGATATATAATCTTCCATGTAAAGTCCTACTTCAGAATTTTCTAGAAATAACTCTGAAATGCTCAAGATCATGTTGTCCCCAAGGATCTTTCCCTGGCAGTTTTAAAACTAGCTCAGAGTAACATTTATTAATAGCTTTGCAATACATTGACCAATAAGAGAACATTTCACCCTTTAACTGAACAAAATCACTAAATAATAATAATAATAATAATAATAATAATATCTTCAAATCGAACAAAATAACACAAAAAAAGGGGCCAAGGAGCATAGAACTGAGAATCTGATTAGATGTTCTCCTTTAGAGAACAAATCTCTTAAGTTTTATCACCTTTAGAAACTTGAGGCCAGGCCCAATGGCTCACGTCTGTAATCCCAGCACTTTGGGACGCTGAGCTGGGTGGATCACTTGGGGTCAGGAGTTCGAGACCAGCCTGACCAACATGGTGAAACCCCATCTCTACTAAAAAAAATACAAAAATTAGTCGGGTGTGGTGCGGGCACCTGTAATCCCTGCTACTTGGGAGGCTGAGGAAGGAGAATCACTTGAACTTGGGGGGCAGAGGTTGCAGTGAGCCGAGATTGCACCATTACACTCTAGCCCAGGTGAGAAGAACAAAACTTCATCTCAAAAACAAAAAAAAAAAAAAAAGAAAGGAAACTTAATAATACTCCCCCTACCCCACTTATTTGTTTTTTGAGCCCCAGACTCAAAAAGTAACAAAAACTATCCATCTATATCTCTTTTATTTTTAGAACTGGGCAATAAAGCTCCAGAAAGTAATATTCTTCCTCAGTGTCCTTTATGTGGCTCAAGAGGAGAAATATTGACTATAATATCTTAGATATCCTGGCATGTGTTTGCCCACCTCTGAACCTAGTTTTCCTTTTTTCTCTTATATCCATCCTCTTCTGTTTTTTTTTCTTATTTGTTCTCTTCTTGATTACCTCCAATCTTAAATGTACTACACAGAGCTCTTTGAAACTTAGAAAAACTAGTAGCTATGAAAATGTAAAAAGGCCACATAGCAATGTCATAGCTGCTTTCACTACAAAGCTTCATCCTCTTATAAATTTGGGAGAATTTGCACACAAAGAAAAAACATAAATCATAGCAATGAAAAAAATTGTCTCAGTGTTATGGGTTGAATAACACTCAGAATATGACTATTTGTAGATAGAGCCTTTAAAGAGGTAATTAAGGTAAAATGAGGTAATAGATATAAGTTCTAGTTCAATATTACTGGTGTCTTCATAAGAAGAAGAGATTTAGGACACAGACAATATGCAGGCCAAGGGTGACCATATCAGGACACAGTGAGAAAGCAGCCATCTGTAAGGCAAGAGAGTTTTTTTTTTTCCAGAAAAAAACAAACATGCAACACTTCGATTTTCAACTTCCAGCACCCAAAACTGTGAGAAAATAAATGTCTGTCGTGTAAGCCAACCAGTTTGTGGCATTTTCTTATGGCAGCCCTAGAAAAATAACATACAGTTTTCCTCCTATATCTACCTGTCAGTAATGAGAAGGTTCAAAAGGACACTAGGCTATTGCTTATTAAAAAGAAAACAAACACACAAAAAAACAACTCTTTCTTGTACTTAGGATATTTTAAGAAGATTATGCAGAACACTTAATTTCTCCCTATTTTCCTTATACAAGCAGTATCTGAGAGTTAATACTGTTGTTAATGAGATGTAAAAATAAAGAACAGCAGTAGAAAGGGTCTCCTGAAGCATTTGATAGAGGTGCTTCTCTATGCACCTGCTTAGTTAAGCTTTTTAAGCACAAGTCTATTTGTTACACAACTGGATAATGACCTAATTTGAACGAATTAACAATTTCACACCTTCTAAGCATAAGGTGAATACTAAGTAAAATCACTAATCTAATATCCTCACACAGGTCACTTTTATTACCTATAATGGAACAATGAGATAAAGTTGCACTTTCAAATTCAAATACTCGATTACTTGCACTAATGGAGGGGATAAGAACCATAGATAATCTGAGACAGTGTCATTTAGGCTTAGCTATATAATACATTTTGTATTCTCATTCCTTCATGTTTGATAATGTAGGAATCCACATCCATCCAAATAATAAAGTTACAGTATTTAAGACAAATACCCAAAGATCTGAAGTCTACCACCATATGCCTGTGCTGAGATTCTTCATAATATACTCCTTGCTGTGAATAAATCCTGTAGGTTTTTAAATATGCCATTTATCAGAGCATACCAGGGCCCAGGGAGGGGAGAATCTTTGCTGTTTAATTCCTGCCAGTGCCAGTCAGTTGATTTCCCAGCATTAGAGTCAGTGATCTGAGTTCAATGTGGGAAAGGACATTTTATCCTGAGACCCACGTGTCTTTCTCATCAGTTTAATAACACAAGTTATCTTACAAATATCAGTTTAATAGCACAGGTAATCTTACAGATATCAGTGTAATGACACAGGTTATCTTACAGATATCAAAGTTGCCAGAATCAAAATGTAGTCATTAATGTTAAACAAAAAACCTGACAAACGGAGCCAAGAAAGGCTATGAAGACAGGAAGAAAGGTTGTTCACACTTGTACACCTGAGGCCATGACAATCTTACACCAAAAATACTTTTGCTAGGGTATCTGCCCCTCAATTACCTGCCCATCTTCAGACTTGGCATCAATCCTTGTTATTAATCTTTGTAGCCAAAGACAATACTCTCAAAACATGTATATAATTCTTTTAAAGGATTTTTTGCCTTTAAAAACATTTGTCAGGGTCCAGCAAGATGGCCAAATAGGATCAGCTCTGGTCTGCAGCTCCTAGCAATATCCATGCAGAAGGCAGGTGATTTCTGCATTTCCAACTGAGGTATCTGGTTCATCTCACTGGGACTGGTTGGACAGTAGGTGCAGCCCACCGAGGGCGAGTTGAAGCAGGGCGGGCTGTCACCTCACCCAGGAAGCACAAGGGGTCGGGAGATTTCCCTTTCCTAGCCAAGGGAAGCCGTGAGAGACTGTACCAGTAGGATCCTGCCCAGATACTGCACTTTTCCCATGGTCTTCGCAACCAGCATACCAGGAGATTCCCTCTGGTGCCTGGCTCAGCGGGTCCCATGGCCACCGAGCCTAGCAAGCTAAGATCCATTGGCTTGAAGTCCTTGCTGCTAGCAGAGCAGTCTGAGATTGACCTGGAATTCACGAGCTTGGTTGGGGGAGGGTCGTCCACCATTGCTGAGGCCTGAATAGGCAGTTTTATGCTCACAGTGTAAATAAAGCTGCCAGGAAGTTCAAACTGGGCAGAGCCCACCACAGCTCAGGAAGGCCAACTGCCTCTCTAGATTCCACCTCTGTGGGCAGGGTATCTCTGAACAAAAGGCAGCAGACCCAGTCAGGTATAGATAAAACCCCCATCTCCCTGGGACAGAGTACCTGGGGAAAGGCGGACCTGTGGGCAAAGCTTCGGCAGACTTAAATGTCCCTCCCTGACAGCTCTGAAGAGAGCAGTGGTTCTCCCAGCACAGTGTTCAAGATATGAAAATGGACAGACTGCCTCCTCAAGTGGGTCCCTGACCCCTGTGTAGACTGGCTAGGAGACACCTCCCAGTAGGGGCTGACAGACACCTCATACAGGAGAGCTCTAGCTGGCAACTGGCGGGTGCACCTCTATGACAAAGCTTCCAGAGGAAGGATCAGGCAGCAATAGTTGATGTTCTGTAGCAGCTTCTGCAGGTGATACCCAGGCAAACACAGTGTGGAGGGGGCCTCCAGCAAACTCTAACAGACCTGCAGCTGAGGGGCCTGACTGTTAGAAAGAAAACTAACAAACAGAAAGGAATAGCATCAACATCAACAAAAAGGACGTCCACACCAAATCCCTATCCACAGGTCACCAACATCAAAGACCAAATGTAGATAAAACCACAAAGATGGGGAGAAAACAGTTTCAATAGTTAAATCAATCAAGCAGAAGAAGGGTTATCAGTGACTGAAGATTAACTTAATGAAATAAAGTAAGAAGACAAGATTAGAGATAAAAGAGTGAAAAGAAGTGAACAAAGCTTCCACGAAATACAGGACTGTGTGAAAAGACCAAACCTACATTTGATTGGTGTACCTGAAAGTGACGGGGAGAATGGCACCAACTTGGAAAATGCTGTACAGAATATTATCCAGGAGAACTTACCCAACCTAGCAAGGCAGGCCAACATTCAAGTTGAGGAAATACAGAGAACACCACAAAGATATTCCTCAAAAAGAGCAACCTCAAGGCACATAATCATCAGATTCACCAAGGTTGAAATGAAGGAAAAAATGTTAAGTGCAGCCAGAGAGAAAGGTCAGGTTACCCACAAAGGGAAGCCCATAAGAACAACAGCAGAAACTCTATAAGCCAGAAGAGAATGGGGGCCAATATTCAACATTCTTAAAGAAAATAATTTTCAACCCAGAATTTCATATCCAGCCAAACTAAGCTTTATAAGTGAAGGAGAAATAAAATCCTTTACAGACAAGCAAATCCTGAGTGATTTTGTCACGAACAGGTCTGCCTTACAGGAGCTCCTGAAGGAAGCACTAAACATGGAAAGGAACAACTGGTACCAGCCACTGCAATAACATGCTAAATTGTAAAGACCATCGACACTATGAAGAAACTACATCAACTAACAGGAAAAATAACCAGCTAGTATCATAATGACAGGATCAAATTCACACATAACAAAATTAACCTTAAATGTAAATGGGCTAAATGCCCCAATTAAAAGACACAGAATGGCAAACTGGATAAAGAGTCAAGACCCATCAGTGTGCTGTATTCAGGAGACTCATCTCACATGCAAAGACATACATAGGCTCAAAATAAAGGGATGGAGGAAGATTTACCAAGCAAATGAAGATCAAAAAAAAAAAAAAAAAAAGCAGGGGTTGCAATCCTAGTCTCTGATAAGGCAGACTTTAAACCAAGAAAGGTCAAAAGAGACAAAGAAAGGCATTACATAATGGTAAAGGAATCAAAGCAACAAGAAAAGCTAACTGTCTCAAATATATATGCACCCTATACAGGAGCACTGAGATCCATAAAGCAAGTTCTTAGAGACCTACAAAAAGACTTAGACTCCCACACAATAATAGTGGGAGATTTTAACACTCCACTGTCAATATTAGACAGATCAACGAGACAGAAAAGTAACAGGGATATTTAGGACTTGAACTCAGCTTTGGACCAAGTGGACCTAATAGTCATCTACAGAACTCTACACCCCAAATCAACAGAATATACATTCTTCTTAGCACCACATTGCACTTATTTTAAAATTGACCACATATTGGAAGTAAAACACTCCTCAGCAAATATAAAAGAACAAAAATCACACCAACCATCTCTTAGACCACAGTGCAATCAAATTAGAATCAGGATTAAGAAACTCACTCAAAACCACACAACTACATGGAAACTGAACAACCTGCTCCTGAATGACTACTGCGTAAATAATGAAATGAAGGCAGAAATAAAGATGTTCTTTGAAACCAATGAGAGCAAAGACACAATGTACCAGAATCTCTGGGACACATTTAAGCAGTGTGTAGAGGGAAATTTATAGCACTAAATGCCCACAAGATAAAGCAGGAAAGATCTAAAACTGACAATCTAACATCAAAATTAAAAGAACTAGAGAAGCAAGAGCAAACAAATTCAAAAGCTAGCAGAAGGCAAGAAATAACTAAGATCAAGGCAGAACTGAAGGAGATAGACACACACACAAAAAAAAAAACTCTTCAAAATATCAATGAACGCAGGAGCTGGTTTTTGGAAAAGATCAACAAAATAGACCACTAGCCAGACTAATAAAGAAGAGAAGAGAGAAGAATCAAATAGGTGCGATAAAAAATGATAAAGGTGATATCACCCCCAGTCCCACAGAAATACAAACTACCATCAGAGAATACCATAAACACCTCTATGCAAATAAACTACAAAGTCTAGAAGAAATGGATAAATTCCTGGACACATACACCCTCCCAAGACTAAACCAGGAAGAAATCGTATCTCTGAATAGACCAATAACAGATTCTGAAATTGAGACAGTAATTAACAGCATACCAATCAAAAAAAAAAAAATCCAGGACCAGACAGATTCATAGCCAAATTCTATTAGAGGTACAAAGAGGAGCTGATATCATTTCTTCCGAAACTATTCCAATTAACAGAAAAAGAAGGAATTCTCCCTAACTGATTTTAAGAGGCCAGCATCATCCTGATACTAAAACTTGGCAGAGACACAACAACAACAAAAACAACAACAACAACAAAATTTTAGGCCAATATCCCTGATGAAGATTGATGTGAAAATCCTCAGTAAAATACTGGCAAACTGAATCCACCAGCACCGCAGAAAGCTTATCCACCACGATGAAGTCGGCTTCATCCCTGGGATGCAAGGCTGGTTCAACATACACAAATCAATAAACGTAATCCATCACATAAACAGAAACAATGACAAAAACCACATGATTAACTCAATAGATGCAGAAAAGGCCTTCAACAAAATTTATCAGCCCTTCATGCTAAAAACTCTCACTAAACTAGGTACTGATGGAACATATCTCAAAATAATAAGAGCTATTTATGACAGACCAACAGCCAATATCATACTGAATGGGCAAAAACTGAAAGCATTCCCTTTGAAAACCAGCACTAGACAAGGATGCCCTCTCTCACCATTCCTATTGAATATAGTATTGGAAGTTCTTGCCAGGGCAATCAGACAAGAGAAAGAAATAAAGGGTATTCTTGGGAAAAGAGGAAGTCAAATTGTCACTGTCTGCAGATGACATGATTGTATATTTACAAAACCCCATCATCCCAGCCCAAAAATCTCCTTAAGCCAATAAGCAACTTCAGCAACATCTCCGGATGCAAAATCAATGTGCAAAAATCAGAAGCATTCCTATACACCAGTAACACACTAACAGAGAGCCAAATAATGAGTGAACTCCCATTCACAATTGCTACAAAGAGAATTAAATACCTAGGAATCCAACTTACAAGGGATGTGAATGACCTCTTCAAGGAGAACTACAAACCACTGCTCAAGGAAATAAAAGAGGAGACATACAAACGGAAGAACATTCTATGATCATGGATAGGAAGAACCAATATCATGAAAATGGCCATACTGCCCAAAGTAATTGATGGATTCAACGCTATCCCCATCAAGCTACCACTGACTTCCTTCATAGAATTGGGGAAAACTACTTTAAAGTTCATATGGAACCAAAAAAGAGCGAGCATAGCCAAGACAATCCTAAGCAAAAAGAACAAAGCTGGAGGCATCACACTACCTGACCTCAAACTATACTATAAGTTTACAGTAACCAAAATAGCATGGTACTGGTACCAAAACAGATATATAGACCAATGGAACAGAACAGAGGCCTCAGGAATAACACCACACATCTACAACCACCTGATCTTTGACAAACCTGACAAAAACAAGCAATGGGGAAACGATCCCTATTTAATAAATGGTGTTGGGAAAACTGGCTAGCCATATGCAGAA
This sequence comes from Homo sapiens, assembly GCF_000001405.40. Classification (NCBI taxonomy): domain Eukaryota; kingdom Metazoa; phylum Chordata; class Mammalia; order Primates; family Hominidae; genus Homo; species Homo sapiens. The sequence continues at coordinate 85,224,809 of NC_000003.12, read as the reverse complement.
AGCTGAAACTGGATCCCTTCCTTACACCTTATACAAAAATTAACTCAGGATGGATTAAAGACTTAAACATAAGACCTAAAATCATAAAAACCCTAGAAGAAAACTTAGGCAATACTATTCAGGGCATAGGGATGGGCAAAGACTTCATGACTAAAACACCAAAAGCAATGGCAACAAAAGCCAAAATTGACAAATGGGATCTAATTAAACTAAAGAGCTTCTGCACAGCAAAAGAAACTATCATCAGAGTGAACAAGCAACCTACAGAATGGGAGAACATGTTTGCAATCTATCCATCTGACAAAGGGCTAATATCCAGACTCTACGAAGAACTTAAACAAATTTACAAGGAAAAAATCAAACAATGCCATCAAAAAATGGGTGAAGGATATGAACAGACACTTCTCAAAAGAAGACATTTATGGAGCCAACAAACTTATGAAAAAATGCTCATCATCGCTGTTCATTAGAGAAATGCACATCAAAACCTCAATGAGATACCATCAATCAATGAGAATGGTGATCACTAAAAGTCAGGAAACGACAGATGTTGGAAAGGTTGTGGAGAAATAGCAATGCTTTTACATTGTTGGCGGGCATGTAAATTAGTTCCACCATTGTGGAAGACAGCATGGCGATTCCTCAAGGATCTAAAACCAGAAATACCATTTGACCCAGCAATCACACTATTGGGTATATACCCAAAGGATTATAAATCATTCTACTATAAAGATACGTGCACATGTATATGTATTGCAGCACTCTTCACAATAGCAAAGACTTGGAGCCAACCCAAATGCTCATCAGTGATAGACTGGATAAAGTAAATGTGGCACATATACACAATGGAATACTATGCAGCCATAAAAAAATGATGAGTTCATGTCCTTTGCAGGGACATGGATGAAGCTGGAAACCATCATTCTCAGCAAAGTAACGCAAGAAGAGAAAACAAAACACCGCATGTTCTCACTCATAATTGGGAGCTGAACAGTAAGAACACATGGACACAGGGAGGAGAAAATCACAAAGCAGGGCTTGTTGGGGGAGTGGGGCACAGGGAGAGAGAGCATTAGGCGAAATATCTAAGGTAAGTGACGAGTTGATGGGTGTAGCAAACCAACATGGCACATGTATACCTATGTAACAAACCTGCATGTTGTGCACATGTACCCCAGAACTTAAAGAGTAATAAAAAAATAAAAAATAAAAATAAAACATAAAAACATTTGTCTTCCTTTACCTCTCTGAATACACACATAGTTTACATTACTATCCCCATTGTAATGTCCTACTCCGGGATAAATATATTTTTTGTGTACAGAGTCTTTATCTGTTATTTAGGCAAACACAGGTTAGTTATTAATGCCAGAGGATATTCAAGTGCGGGCTTCTAGGGAGATAGGATGAATGATTATTAAGTTACAGAGGCAATAGATATATGACAACTGTAAATCTTTGATATAACAAATACAACATTTCATTTTAGAACAGACCTTAAATCCTAGCCCAATATCTTCCCCACAGAGTATATGCTGAATCAAATATAAAACATACATCCTGTTTTTTCATACCTCTGAAGGTATTCTCATTGAACTTGATAAAAAACTGCATGATTTTGTGGCCAATTTCTACTTATGATCTCTGACTTACCAGTAAATAAAGTTTTTAAATTGTTACATTTTAATTTTACATGTTTCAGTTACTGTCATTTATTGAGTGCCAGGTTTCCAGAAATACAAAAATGGCTGAGGCGGAGACACTGGCCCCCTAACAGTTACTATCTAGAATAGGGCATAATGACCGCTCAAGAGAAAATATTTTAAGTTCGATAGTAGTTCTAAAGAGGAAAATAATACATGTTTTTGAAAGTTCTATGAAATGGAGGGCTTTAACAATGATTCTAATAAAAGATGGGAAAAATAGGTATGTATAAATGATGAGGGCAGTTTAGGTTGGGTGCATAATTTGAACTCAAGGGATGAGACCAAATAATTCAGTGAATAATGAGTTATCCAGTTTGGCTATAGCATAATAGTAAATGCTAGCATTATATAAGCAATATGTTAAATGTTCATAGATGATATCATTTAACCTCATAATAACCAAATGAGTTAGGTGTTATCTCCAATTTTCAGATGACAAAGCTGAATATAATATGAAGAATTTAAGAGTTTTATTATTCCAAGTCCTCCAAAAAGTAGATACCTGGATTGGATTACACATGTTACAGATTATCAGGGAAAATATATGTGACAGCGAAAGAGGTGAAAGCCAATAGAAGGAGACTATCAGATTCGAGGTAGCTCTGATCCTGAGTGAAGGAAACAGCCACGGAAGGAAGGTTGTGTGGAAGCATCTTAAAATCCAGTGCAGCTCCAAGGAGACTTTGACAAGAATACCAGCATCACCTGGTATTTTTTTAAGCCAGAATCACCATCAGAGAAGTCATACATCTTAGAACAATGAATGTGTCTTAATACTCCTGCCATGTTCAGTCGTTGGCTGGGAGAAGCCAAAGAGAAATGAGGTCTCAACACCAACCACAGTGATTGGTTGTTATCGCACACAGTGCCACAAGCCATTTATTAATAGTTCCTGTAATCAGATATACGACAGACGTATTCTCACGCTGGTCACAGTAACAAAGCCAACAAGTGACCAAACCAGCCTTCAAACCAAGTCTATGCAATACATTTAACCAAAATACAAAAACGACGACAAAAAACATGGCATGGTGTATATCTTTTTATCTCATGGACTATTATTCTTCAATAATAATTTTGTCTTCTAAATATTTTTTCTCCATTAACTTCATTGTGATAAAATATCGATTTCCCTGTTAAATTTTCTTCTTCTTCAACTGCATTTACTAGGATGCTATATTTTGCTTTCTTTATCATTTCAAACAGCAATAGGATTTTGGATTTCAAACGGTATCTAGAGCTCAATTAGTCCAACTCACCATGTTACCCAAGAGCCAATTCAGGTCATCAAAGATGTCATGCCTTGCTCAGAGTCACTTAAAGAATTAGTGACACTTGAGACTGAGGACAGATGTCCTAACGCCTGTTTACAATGGTTATCACCACTTACCGTTAGCTTGTTTCTCACACTTTTCCTTTTACATAGCTTTACTTTTTCTTATATATATTTATGGCATAATGCCTATAAATCCATTTCTCATGCCCTGCTTATGGTTACATAAAAAACAGTAACCATAAAGATACAGGGTAACTTCCAAAATACTCTCCAATTTTCAAGAATTTTCCCTACTATTAGCTCACCTAATTTTTTGTTTGTTTTTCAGATTGGTTATTGTTTGTTTCTCTATTAGATCAAACAAGAAATTAGATGGTGTGAAGAGAGTTTGAAATCTTGGCAATAATATTAATAATAATTAATAACAATGAAGCATCTACAGTGTCCTGAATTTGGTTTCAAGTGTACTAGCAGAGCAAATACTAAAAAGATAGAGATTACTAGCATTTTTTTCCTCCTCATTCTATCCTGTTTCAGGATAGTCTTACAGAGCTATGGACACAGATAACCACATTAAATTACTGTGATTCAACCACCTAGGACCTACAAAGCTGGCAATTGAATACAGTTCAACTTATTATCCTGTATTGGATATTTGGAACATTGAAACATTTGGAAAAAAGTGTATCGTTTATAACGAGGAAGTATTTCAGGTTTTAAATTCATAGAACACCAAAATTACATGAGACAATAGAGGTTTCCTCATCCGATTCTTTACTCTGGGCATTAATTCTCCTACAGTTTCACAGGCAGGTTGATTCATCCACTCTTAAAGACATCTAACAATGACAAAGCATTCTAATTTCAGACCGCTATAATTTTCAGGGAATTCTAGCTCTTTTGAATTTCCAAATAACTTACCCATTGATTTTAGTTCTTTGTTTTGCCTTATAGACTCAGTTTAGAGTATTATCCAAAGGAAAATGTGTGCAATATTTTAAAACAACCATTTTTTTTTTTCTAAGCAACCATTCTCTTCCTCAATTGGAACTTCTCAGTAACCCTGATCATTTCTCCTAAGGCGGTATTCAAGTTCTCCCATCATCCTGGCCATAGTCACAAGGGTGTGCCCCACTATCAATGTCTCCCTTAAAATATAGTTCTAATGACTGAATACAGTATTCCAGATATGATTTTACCTGAGGAGATTTAAATTTAATATGACTATTACTCCTGTAGTATGGTCAATGTGGCCAATGACTGTTATCACCAGATTACAAACATAAGCCCTAGATGTTCAACTAGTCAGATACCAAGATACTCTCAAGAACCTGACTTGTATGCTTGACATTACAGAGACAAACAAAAAATGAATTGAGTTTTTCACTTTCTGTTTAAATGTGTTGGCATTGACAGACTATGTCACATTTAGACAGTAATATAGAATGCTGAGTATATTGGTCTTTGTCTATATCCTGAGGAAACATGTCACCAAATTTTCCCCAAAAATTGTTACATTAGAGATTACATCATGAATATCACCATCAAAATTGGAATTAATTGGCACTTTCTCAGTTGAAATCTCTTGAACTAAAAAAGACCTAGAGATTGCCTGAGGCTCATAGGCAGCATCTTAACAGCAACAACAACAACAACAACAAAAATCTAGTATTTTGTTGGAAAACCTAGCCAAAAAAATTTTAGTGTATTTCAGAGGTGGATTTCTAGTGTATTTCAGAGGTATGGAAAACAAGAGCACATATTAAAAACCCATTAATCAAAATGTTGACTAATTAAACAAATACACAATTTTTAATTTTATCTATCTCCATTATACCTCCTAATATTCTAAGTTGAAAATAGGATTTCATATGCATACTTACTTATTCAAAACTCCATGAAGCTTAAAATAAATTTAAGATTTCATGTGCCTCAAATTGTATGCAGTTGTATTATGAAAATATCATGTCTCTACCATTATAATCCCAGCTACCAAAATGTTCCTGGCCAATATGCTCTCTCTTTGACTGTCAAGTGAACAATGTTTTTTTCAAATGGAAAATAGTTTCTTTAAAGAGGTAAGGTTGTGAAACAGTAGTTGTTTTGGTATCATGCAAGGTATAAGAATATTTTTTTAAAAATCAATATCAAGGTCACCATGTAGCATATAACCAATTTTATTCACTTTTTTGTCTAATGACTACAATTTTCTTTCACAGTGGCATAACAGGGAAATGTAGTTGCTTTTAAGGCATATTCACTGTATTAGCTTTCTTTGAAATACATGTTGAAAGAAGATACCAGGGTTTTTATATAAAAATAATGTATATTTAGGCAGAGTTGATGGATACTTTTAAAGTGACAGTTACCTAAAATTACTATTGGTAGCACTGTGACTTAGCAAGTGCAGTTCTGTTTTGAATTTAACAGTTTTGAAGTGAACGTTTTAGGTTATGACAAGATCAGTGTATTTTTGGAGTCAATTTCCTAGAGCATTACATTCACTAATGGCTGAGTCTCTCAATCCATCAAATATTACTAAAAATAAAAAATCAAATCAACTAAAAACAAAGTCAGATATTAAAAGCTCTCTGATTAGGAAACAATGTTTGTACTTCATGTAAATACATGCATTGTTTACATTTGGAGTGTTGGATCATACTATTCTTTTTGTATTCCTTATATCATATTATTCTTTTCACCATTAATTCAAAACCATACCTATAATACCTCCTATGCATTCTATGTTTTTCTCTTTCAAATTGATGTTGAGATAAGTCTTCAAGTTTTATATAAAGTAATCTTACATTTTACACAATCATCTTCATGATATGCGAGGCAATCATGGCTTTAGAGCTAAAAGCACTGTTTTTGGTGAGTTTCAACCAAAAGGTAAGATAGATTAGGCTGATAGGGCAGTCAGCTAGGGTAACTAGATTATAGTCCTGTGTTATTAGTAATACATCTGAATACCTATGATTTGGAAAATTGCCATCACTGCATAAATGCACACAATTTTATTTATTTATTTTGAGACGGAGTCTCACTCTGTTGCCAGGCTGGAGTGCAGTGGGCGTAATCTCGGCTCACTGCAACCTCTGCCTCCCGAGTTCAAGTGACTCTCCTGCTTCAGCCTCCCGAGTAGCTGGGACTACAGGCACCTGCCACCACGCCAGGCTAATTTTTGTGTTTTTAGCAGAGACAGGTTTTCACCATGTTGGCCAGAATGGTCTCTATCTCTTAATCTCATGATCCACCCACCTCGGGCTCCAAAAGTGCTGGGATTACAGGAGTGAGCCTGTACACTTTACCTCCCTATGCTCTCAGCTACCTCGTTTATGATATAAGTACATTTCTCTTAATCATCTCTAAAGGCCGCCTGGAGCACTGAGGGGTTATGACGTGATGATATAATTTAAATAACAGGCTGATGATAGGGGAGCCAGCTGCATCAGAAATGTTGCATCACTATAGCTTGGTCTTTGCTTACACATTCTCAAAATCTTTTATAACAACTTAAACAATTGGGGAGTTTGGATTTTTTTATTTCTAAATTACTTTTACATTGTTCTAATGGTAAATATGGCTAAGTCTGGAATATAACTCACTTCCAGGTGACCTCTCATCTACATTAAGCTAGTACACAATTTCCACTTTTATAATTTTTTTTAAAAAAAGACTCTGTATTTTACACAATCTAGTGCTTTATTTCATAAACTAATTATTATATGTCTAATAAAATAATTATGATTATCAAATAACCAACTGCATAACATAAGTAATTGATTACAAAAAGCATTTTGTTTTAATTAAAATATTTTTAAATGTTTGATTTATGGATACACAGCTAAAGGCCAAATATCCAAATATACAACAAAGTTATTTAAAGAGAATAAAAAAGGTGACCATTATGTTAAAATTATTTAAAAGGCTAAGCAAGTGTAATTTCTTATCATTGATTTAAAAAGCCTTATAAAAATGGATTAAGAATCTACTACTGTTACATTTAAATAATTGCTTTATAATTTTCCATGATATTTGTCATTAAACCCAGTTTCTTATGGGGTTTAAGAAAATTGAGAATGAGACAGTCTACTATAATTTGGAAGTATTACATTCATGGAACACTAAGTGGCCACAAGTGATTCCCCAAATTTCTGTAATTTTTCTGTTTTAATAGTTTTCTATAACTGCTAACAAATCATGTTCATATTAAGTGCTATAATATTTTTATGCAGAGAGATATTTGTTTCCATTCATAAGAAAATTATCACAGATTTAATACATAAATGTAGGTGAATTGGTATTAATAATTTCAAAAACAACTCCGCTTTCAATTACAAATTACAATAAAATTGTTTGTAGGTCTAATTAGATGCAACATAATGTGTGTGTGGATTAAAATACATATAAATGCTAAAGTGCTCATATCTTTTGTCTCTTACTGTGTTTCATATAATTCTACAATGACATACATTTTATGATATTTTTCTAACTTAATTTCAATCCTATCCCTAAATTAATCAAATTTGCTATGCTTATTTTATGAGTTTTCTCAACAAACATCAGTAAATGCTTATTTTAAAAACAATTTTATAATTATATGATCTTCATAATTTTGTGCCAGTGTTATAAGACTAAAATAAAGATATTTCCATAGGTAAATAAACATCTTTGTGTGTGTGTTACTTTGTTTAATATTTTCTTAAGAATTCTTACTTTTTATGACCAATCACTTAATATTTTAGGTAAATGTAATTTAATTTTACCCCCAGTTCATTAGTGAATCTTAATAGTATACAATATATTTTATTATAAGAAAGAATGCATTCTCCCTTAATTAAATTGTATGTATTTCTTTCAGAGAGCAATGGAATAATATAATGCAAAAACAGATATAGCAATGTAAATTTTGAGAAAAAATTCTAATTTGAATTACCATATCAATATTTTATGTGCCATTTTATTATATTCTCATCCTATTCTACAAAGAAAATATATTAGAGTTGGCCACCCATTAAAAATTGGCTCTGCATTACATAATGATGCAAATAGTTTAAATTCTACAAATAATCATAAATATGACCTTTATAGCAAGATAAACTCAATCAATCTTTTTGGAAGAGTACACATGTAAAATTTCCTTAATATGCTTTTGTAACCAAGATGTTGACTGAAACAACAGCCAGAGCAACTATATTTTACCAAACAATGGTGACAATGAGATGATATTTAATAGTTTTCTGTCAGTCTGAAAAAGCAGCTTTATTGTATCAAAAGATGTGGCTTTCTGGGCATGTCTTCTGTAATTTTTTTAATTTGCAGCAAAGAATATGATCAATTATTGCAAATTAATCTCTTTATGGACAGTTCTCAAATTATGCATGAGTGCCTTAAATTTCATTGGATAATGTAAAATTAATGTAATAAATAATTAATATAAGTGTACATTAATATTAAATATATTACTATTAATATAATAATATATTTATACATTAAATATATATTAATATGTTAAATATATATAAATATATTAAATATAAATATATTTAATAGATAAACTATTAAATATTTTAATAGTCTATAGCTCCAAAAATAATTTACAAATATATTCTTCATAATTTTAGGAAATTTTTTTTTCATGAAAACAATATTATAGGGAAGGAGGTTGAGCAAGATGGCCAAATAGAAACCTCCAGTGATTGTCCCCCACTGAAGGAACACCATATTGAACAACTATCCCCAAACTACACCTTCAAAATAGCCAAAAATCAGGTGAACAAACATAGTACCTGGCTTTAACGTCATAGTAAGGAAAGAGACACTGAAGAGGGAAGGAAACACAGTCTTGAATCACATGTACCATCCCTCCTCCTCCCTCATTCTCTAGCAGCGTCTGCATGGTGTGGGGAGAGAACCTGTGTGCTTGTGGGAGGGAGAACACAGTGATGGTCAGATTTTGCAGCACAACTCAGTGTTGCCCCATTACAGCAGAAAGCAACATTGGGCAGAACTCAGCCAGCACACATGAAAAGAGCATCTAAACCAGCCCTGGCCAGAGGTGAATCATCTACCCTAGCAGTAGGAACTTGAGTCCCGGAAAGACCCCCAAACATGGGCTGCAGTCCTCTGGAGTCCTACATAAACTTGAAAGCCCATCTAAGCCTCAAGAAATGCAATTCCTGGTGCTGTACTGAGTTCAAATCCAGGGGACTAGGGGTGCATCTGACAGAGTGAGACACCAGCTTGGGTGGTTAAGGGAGTGCTTGTGTTACCTCTCCGCCAACCCCAGAAAACACAGATCACAGCTTTGGGAGAAAAACCTTCCCTCTGTTTGAGGAGAGGAGAGGAGAGAGTAAAAAGGACTTCAACCTCCCATGACACAAATTTATCTATGTAACAAACCTGAACTTATACTCCTGAACTTAAAATAAAAGTTTTTTTCTTTTTTTTTTTTTTTTTTTTTTTTAAAAAAGAGAGAACTTTGGTGTTGCAACTTAGACAGCAGCTTAACCAGAGTAGAATGCCACTAGGTAGAGTCCTGAGGGCCCTATTCCAGACCCTAGTTCCCAGAGGGCATTTCTAGACATGCTGTGGGCCATAAGAGAGCCCACTGCCTTGAAGGGAAGGATTCCTTCCTGGCAGGATTCATTAGCTACTTATTAAAGAGCCACTGAGCCTTGAATAAATATCAGTGTTGCCCAGGCATTACTCCCCATGGGCCTTGGGTGAGACCCAGGGTGGTCCTGGCTTCAGGTGTGATCCAAAGCATTCTTAGCTACGGTGGCCATGGAGGGAGACTCCTTCTGCTTAGGGAAAGGAGAAGGAAGATTAAAGGAGATGTTGTCCTGCAGCATGAGTACTAGCTTAGCCACAGTGGGGTAGAGCACCAAACAGCCTCCTGGAGTCTCCAATTCCAGGCCATGACTCCTGGATGGCATTTCTAGACCTGCCCTGGGTAAGATGGAAACCCACTTTTCTGAAGGGAGGGACTCACGACTGGCAGCATTCACTGCAAGCTGACTGAAGAGCCCCTGGGCCTTGAGTGAACATCAGTGGTAGCCAGGCAGTACTTGCCATGGGCTGGGGACAATGGTGGCCATGGGGAGAGACTGCTCTGCTTGAGGAAAGGTGAGGGAAGAGTGGGAAGGACATTGTCTTGCAGCTTGGTTGCCAACTCAGCCACAGTAGAATAGAGTTCCAGGTATTAATAGATTCCTAAGGTACCCTACTCCAGGCCCTGGCTCCCAAGTGGCATCTCTGAACCTGGCCAGGACCAGGGTTGGGGGGTGGGGGAGATTCATCACCCTGAAGGGAAAGACAATACTGGCTGGATTTGCTACATGCTGATAGCAGAGTCCATGGGCCTTAAGGGAATACAGGCAGTAGCCAGGCAGTGACCACCACAGGTCTTGGGCAAAACCCAGTGCTGTTCTGGTTCAAGTCTGATTCAGTGCAATACCAACGGTGGTGGCCACAGAGGTGCCTGTGTTACCTCTCTCCCAGCTCTAGGCAGCTCAGCAAAGAGAGAGAGACTCACTTTATTTGTGGGAAAGTAAGGAAAGAGAACAAGAGTCTCTGGTAATCCATGGAATTCATCCATATCTTACCACCAAGACCACCAAGGTGGAACAAATACAGGTCTGCAAGAGCCACAGCATTACTGGGCCTGGGGTGCCCCATAATGTGGGTATGGCTACTGTGACCAAAGACTTGGATCACAACACCTGAGTCCCTTCGAATATGTGGAACAAACTAAATAACACACTAGTGACCAATCCCAGAGAAACAGAGACATTTGACAGAATTCAAAATATCTACATTGAAGAAGCTCAAAGAAATACAAGATAACACAGAGAAGGAATTCAGATTCTTATCAGATAAATTTAACAAATATTGAAATGATTACAAGGAATAAAGCAGACATTATGGAGTTGAACATGCAAGTGACATACTGAAGAGTGTATCAGAGTCTCTTAACAGCAGATGATCAAGCAGAAGAAATAATTAGTGAACATGAAGACAGGCCATTTGAAAATACACAGAGGAGACAAAGGAAAAAAGTATAAAAAATAATGAAACATGTCTAGAAAAAGTAGAAAATAGTCTCAAAAGGACAAATCTAAGAGTTACTAGCCTTAACAGGAGGTGAAGGGATAATAACAGAGAACTTTCCAAACCAAGAGAAGGAAATAAATATCGAATAGATGTCAAATATTGTACTTTGAATATGGAAGTACAAGAAGGTTATAGACCACTTAGCAGATATAAACTAAAGGAAACCACCTTAAAGCATTTAATAATCAAACTCTCAAAGGTCAAGGATGAAGAAAGGATTCTAAAAGCAACGAAAGAAAGAAATAGCATACAAAGGAGCTCCACTATGTCTGGTAGCAGACTTCTCAATGGAAATCTTATAGGCCAGGAGAGAGTAGCATGAAATATTTAAAGTTGTAAAGGAAAAAGAAAAAAAAAATTATACTAGAATAGTATATCCAGTGAAAATATTCTTCAAACATGAAAGAGAGATAAACAGCTTACCAGACAAGCAAAAGCAGAGTGATTTCATCAACATCAGACCTGTTCTACAAGAAATGCTAAAAGGAAAGGAAACTACATTCATGACCAATAAGAAAATACCTGAAGTCCAGGCACGGTGGTTCACACCTGTAATGCCAGCACTTTGGGCAGCCAAGGTAGGCAGATCACCTGAGGTCAGTACTTTGAGACTAGCCTGGCCAACATGGTGAAACCCCGTCTCTACTAAAAATTCAAAAAATAGCAAGGTGTGGTGACGTAAACCTATAGTCTCAGCTACTAGGGAGTCTCTGAGACAGGAGAAGCCCTTGAACCCAGGAGGCGAAGGTTGCAGTGAGCGGAGATTGCGCCATTGCACTCCAGTCTGGGTGACAGTGTGAGACTCCATTAAAAGAAAGAAAGAGAAAGAAAGAAAGAAAGAAAGAAAGAAAGAAAGAAAGAAAGAAAGAAAGAAAGAAAGAAAGAAAGAAAGAAAGAGAAGAAAAAGAAGAAAATATCTGAAGGCAAAAAATTCACTGGTAATAGTAAGATGCAGAATATTATAACACTGTAATTGGGGTGTATAAACCACTCATATCTTGAGTGGTTTTATCTTTCTAAAAGATAAACATATCAAAAAATACCTATAACAATTTTTCAAGACATAGTAAAATAACATATAAATAGATGCAACAGAAAATTTAGAAGTGTGAGATGAAGTTAAATTGTAGAATTTTTATTAGTTTCCTCTTTGCTTATTTGTTTACTTGTTGGTTCATTCAATTATTGTTAAGCTGACATTAGTTTAAAATAATGAATTGAAAGATATTACTTGTAATCCTCATAGTAACCTGAAATCTAAAAACATTCAACAGATATATAAAAAATCAAAAGCAAGAATAAAACATGCCACTGGAGAAAACCACCTACACTAAGACAAAGACAGGAAGGAAAGAAAGAAGGGATATAAGACCACAGGACAACCAGAAAACAAATAACAAAATGGCAGGAGTATGTCCTTACTTATCAATAACAACACTGAATGTGAATGGACTAAACTCTTCAATCAATAGACTTAGGGTGGCCGAATATATTAAGAAACAAAACCCAATGATCCTACAAGAAATACACTTTATCTATAAAGACACACATACACTGAACAAAAAGAGATAGAAAAAAATTTCCATGTAGATGGAAACCAGAAAAGAGGAGGAGCAGCTATATTTGTATCAGACAAAATAGATTTCACGACAAAAATTATAAAAAGAGACAAAGAAGGTCATTATGTAGTGATAAAGGGGACAATTCAACAAGAGGATATGACAGTTGTAGATATATATGCACCCAACACTGGAGCACCCAGATATATAAAGCAAATATTATTTGAGATAAGAGAGGGACAGACCCCAAAACAATAGGAGCTGAGACTTCAGCACCCCACTTTCTGCATTTGAAAAATCATCCAGACAGAAAATCAAAAAAAGAAACATCAGACTTAACTTGTACTATATAGCATATAGACCTAACAGATATTTACAGAATATTTCATACAATACCTGCAGAGTACACATTGTTCTCCTCAGCACATGGCTTATTCTGAAAATAGACCATATGCTAAGCTGCAAAACGAGTTTTAAATATTAAAAAATTGAAATTATCTCAACTATCTTCTCTAACCACAATGAAATTAAACTAGGAATCAACACAAAGAGGAATTTTGGAAACTATACATACATATGGAAATTAGTAAACTCTTGGGTGACCAGAAGGCTAATGAAGAAATTAAGAAGAAAATTTAAGATTTCTTGAACAAATGAAAATTGAAACACAGCATACTAAACCTATAAAATACAACAAAACCAGTACTAAGGGAAAGTTTATAGCAATAAGTGCCTACATAAAAAAATAGAAAAACTTCAAATAACCTAATGATACATCTTAAAGAACCCAAAAAGCAAAAACAAACCAAACCCCAAATTAGTAGAAGAAATGAAGTAAAATAGATCAGAGCAGTAATAAATGAAATTGGAATGAAAGAAATTATACAAAATATCAGCAAATCAAAAGGCTGGTTTTTAGAAAAGATAAATGTAATAGACAAACCTATCGCCAGGCTAAGAAGAGAGAGAGAGAGAGAAAAGATGCAAAGAAATAGAATTATAAATGAAAATGTAGACATAACAACTGATAACACAGAAATTAAAAGGCTCATTTTTGACTACTATGAGTGATCATTATATGCCAATAAATTGGAAAACCTAGAAGAAATGAATAAATAAATTCCTACACAAGTACAACCTACCAAGATTGAACCATGAAGAAATTCACAACTTGAAAAGACAAATGACAAGTAATGAGATTGAGGCCATAATTAAAGGTCTCTCAGCAAAAAAGCCCAGACCCTGATGGCTTCACTGCTGAATTTTACCAAACATTTAATGAAGTAACATCAATACTACTCAAACTATTCTGGCTGGTGTGGTGCCTCATGCCTGTAATCTTCTACTCTAGGAGGCTGAGGTGGGTGGATCACTTCAGCTCAGCAGTTTGAGGTCAGCATGGGCAACATGGCAAAAACTCATCTCTACAAAAAAGTACAATAATTAGCCGGGCTTGGTGGCATATACCTGCAGTCCCAGCTACTCCGAGGCTCAGGTGGGAGGATGGCTTGAGCCTGGGAGGCAGAAGATGCAGTGAGCCATGATTGCACCACTGCACTCCAACCTGGGCAACAGAGCCAGACCTTGTTTCAAAAAAGAAAAAAGAAAAAAATCCCCAAAAATAGAGGAAAAGAGAATACTTCCTAATTCATTCAACAAGGCCAGTACATACCAGATACCGGAACAGATACCAAAACCAAACAGACATCAAAAAATGAAAACTACAGGCCAGTATCCCTGACGAACATTAATGCAAAAATATTCAATAAAATGCTAGCTGATTGTGTTCAACAAACCAGTAAAAAGATATTCATCATGACTAAATGGCATTTACCCCAGGGAGACATGGATGGTTCAACATACACAAATCAATCAATGTGATACATCATATCAATAGAACAAAGTTCAAAAAACATATCATTTCAATTGATGCTAAAAATAGTTTGATAAAACTCAACATTCCTTCATGATAAAAACTCTTAAGAAACTGGACTAGTAGGAACATACCTCGAAACAATAAAAACCACATATAAAAGACCAATAGCTAGTATTGTACAGCTTTATCTGGAAAATTTCTAAAATAGCAATTTATCCGTGCTAGACTTTTCTTATCTGATGTTTCCTTTAAGTTTCTATTTTTCTTCCAGATTTCCATGACCTTTGGAGGTAAGACATGGTTTATAAATGTATTTAAATCATCAAAATAACTATGTGTTACTGATATTTCATGTTCATTTGTCTTCTCTCTGCTATTTTGAGTTTTATGTTCTACGATCCTGTCAACTATCTTTTCACCCAGAATTGCTTTATAACATTATTACAAGGTGCCCATTTGTGAACTTTTCAAAGGTTCTGGAAAACAGAGAGCTAGTAGTGTTTTAAATCAAGTTGTTAGTTCACTTTCAGACTAATTGGAAACGCCTGCAGTGTGCAGCAACATGTTTCAAGGTGGCTGTGTGTTTTTTCTTCTGTATGTTTTTTTTTTAAGATGCCTGAGAAGCTCAATCTGTGCATTTAGAAATAGTAATAAATGCATTTGTGATTCAAGACTCTTTATTTACAGAGTCTGAGGTCAAATGAGGGGGAAATGATGGGAAGTAATATCAATGCATTTTAAAATTATTTTATTACTTCTTTCCAGAGAAATTTGAGAAATAACCTTTACAGAAATATTTAAGTACATAAATGGAAAAGGCTTGGGCTTCGAGAGAATTTGAGTTTCTTTCTGATCTCGGGAAATCAACTTAACCTTTCAGGACTTCAGTTACTTTATCTGTAAAAAAGAAAAAATACTCTCCTCAGAAGACTTTTACTGGGAAAAGTAAATGCACACAAAGCACTTAGCACATTGCTTGCCTGAGTGCCTTGATAAATGTTTCTTCCTTCCTCAAATCTGAACCAACGTATTTAAAAAGCTGTCTACTTGAGAAGCCTAAAATTGTAGATCTTAAATATCTTTTTGAAGAATAAGAAATCATGAATACTACCCTAATATTTAACTCAGTTTGTAGTATTTTGGAGGAAAAACAAATCACAGCATATTTAATATCTTTAAGCTCAATCATGTAAAAGGAGTTCTGTACACACAGTTTCCAGAATGAAAGTCTTCCATTTCTTGTCTGTGTTTACAACTTTCAAAAAGCTTAATTTAATATGTTCAATATCCAAAAGATTATTTTAAAATTCATGACATAAATATGTAGCACAGGTTTAGGAGGTGTTAAGATGAATACTAGAGAGTGTTCTCTCTGATTGGGAACATCATTTCTTATCTGGAGTGACATCAGGTGACACCCGTGAATGTTATTTTTAAATCATTGGATATGCTTGTTGTTCCAACTGCACCAGCACCTGGTGAAATATGCAGCTGAGGGGACTTGGCAATTTTAAAATAAGTGAATCAGAGATTATTTTTAATTTCAATTTCAAATGCTATAATCACCTGTATTTAATATTAGCCATATTTAGACAAGCTGCCTGTCTCCACTTAAATGTATCCTCTTTACCTCTGTCATTCTGCAAGTCAACATTTTAACTGCTTTCTTTCAATATGTAGATTTGTCTTCTCCTGTGGCTGGGTTGTCATTAAAACTGTCACAAATTAATTATTTATGTATACCTATTTATTATTAAACCAGCAAAATCTTCACCCCCTGCAAATGCATTTTTCCCAGGTCACCTTGTGAGCAAAACTTTGCATTTTTCAATTCACTGTTGGTTTCCGATCCATCTGTATGGATATTAAAGCTGCTCTACTTTTCCCTATGGCAAGTCTTATCTGACTAAGTCATACACCTTCCTTTATTGCTATCCCTTTGTTATAGTCCTACAATTGTACTTTTATTAAAACGTTTCTAGTAACGTTACATAAAAGGGTGTTATAACAAAGCATACTTAAAATCTTCAAATTAAATTTGGGTTTTGTGAGGTCTGCGAATTAACCTAGAGCCTGGAAAATGTAGGTTATATATAGAAGAAAACTCAAAACTCAATCATATCAATAATGTAAAAAGTGCAAGGCAAATCACTCCTTTCTGAGATGCTAACATTTAGTGCCTTCATATGACATTTGCATCATCATACAGTGTTGTAGACAATATGTAAGGAATTATGTGTTGGACATTTGTCAGGGAGGCAAAGATTAAAACAGTCTTTTACTAGAGATTTAAATTCTACTGGGGGATTTATACATGTATCTAACTGCAATAGAGGTTCATGATGATTATACTAGAAATATACACAAAACAAAGGAGAAAGGAAACAGGAGGGCTTTCTTATGCCCTGATTAAAAACAAAAAAACTCCTTTCAAGAGATACAGTTTATCAACCTGTCAAGCTGACCTTATAAAAACAGCATAAGCCAAATGTTTGTCAAATTAAATGATTCAAATTAAAAGTATGCCAGTTGGTTTTCTTATTTTAAAGAGACTCTCTGTAATTCATGTCCTTAACTGAACTTAAATGTCTTTATTTCGTTTTCACCTACTTTAAATCATACATATTAGTCCTTTTCAGGCTTACCATTAAACCACTAGATAAAAATACTTTAGTCAAGAATGTTTTAGAATACTTTATAATTTCAAATTCAGTAAAATTGATGGCTGCTGATAGTAGTAAAATTTGAGATTTCCTTGGAAGGAAGATTTTACTATGGCAACTGATATGAAATAGAAAGACATGAGAAGAATATGAAGAGATTATAAATATATATGCAAAATATAACGTTTTACTTAAATGAAGTGTGGTTCTCATAAAATAAAATGTCTGTTACCCAAGATATAAAGCAGAAATACCTCTAAAAATAAAAATAAATGTTCAGAGGATGAAATGAATAGTCAGTGATGAAACTTTCATTTATCCGTTTTCTGAGAGATTTGGAACAGACAGCTTAGATCAATATCTTTGAGATAAAAAGTGTATCCTCAGAAAGAAAATAAGAGTCAACACTTATTCTGAAGGCAGATTGTGCATTTGCATTAAAACATGTTTCACGCAAGTATTTTAAACACATGATGAACAAACTCTAAATTTTGAAATAACATGCTATTGTCATGTGTATGCATACACACACACACACACACACACACACACACACACACATTTATTTCTTCCAAAGTAACTGATTCTGCCTAGTAGGCTCCTCCTGTAATGTTGTGGTTTTATTTTATTTTTTGAAGGGGGGGAGGTTATGGCCTTAAATATTATTTATTTGAGGAGGACAAGACCATGACAAATTCCAAACCATTTCCAATATTATAATTATGAAGTTTAATAAAAATATTACTAATACAAGTTCTTCATCTTTCTTAGCAACTTAATATTTAATAAATTTTAAGTTTGTAAATTAATAAATCATAAAAAGATATAAATGTATTTATGTTTATTATCCAAGTAGATATAAAGTAGATTAAGATCAAATAAAATTGAAAACTTAAAACAGAAAAAAAGACAATGAAAAGCATAACTTCTTAGAAAATCTTAGCTATTTTATCAAGACAGTCTGAAAAAAGTTACTTAAATCAGCTCATAGAATGACCTAAATTCGGCCGGGCGCGGTGGCTCACGCCTGTAATCCCAGCACTTTGGGAGGCCGAGGTGGGCGGATCACGAGGTCAGGTGATCAAGACCATCCTGGCTAACACGGTGAAACCCCGTCTCTACTAAAAATACAAAAAATTAGCCGGGCGTGGTGACGGGCGCCTGTAGTCCCAGCTACTCGGGAGGCTGAGGCAGGAGAATGGTGTGAACCTGGGAGGCGGAGCTTGCAGTGAGTCGAGATTGCGCCACTGCACTCCAGCCTGGGTGACAGAGCAAGACTCCATCTCAAAAAAAAAAAAAAGAAAAGAAAAAAAAAAAGACCTAAATTCTGTGCTTTGAATGCTTGATTTGACAAGATTTCACTTATAAAAGAGTCATTGACTTCAATGATCAAATACTTATGTTTCTGATTTGACAAATGAGGAAAGTGAGATTAATAAAATTAAGTAGTATTATCTGTAACAAACAAAAAAAAAGCAAAACGAATGTGTGCCAGAGGTAAATGCCAGAACTGAAAAACAGTTTACCTGACTTAACATCCGGAACTTCTTTGATTATATCACACTGGGGTCATTGTAGTGTTTTGTTTTTTCTTCTTTTCTTTTCCGGCTCTTCATGAAGTATTTTGTTGTTGTTGTAGTGCTTAATGTTCATTTGTTTGCTTTTGCTTTAGGTTTTTATTTTTGAATTAGTTTGAGCTATTTCTGAGAGAAAATTATATACTATGGAGATTCAATATCATAGAGACACAAAAGAGATTTCTAAAAACGTTAAGAGAATATTCCAGGTTCAATCATCAGAAGGTGATGTTAATTTGACCTCCAAATTAAATACTCATGTATTATGATGTCCAACTTCACATCTTTTTTTTTCTGGTGAGCATTACAAATATATTGTAATAGGAAACTAGAAAAGTTTTTAAATAATATGTTACTGGTATCAAGTTATTTTTATTATAATCTATGATCTATTTTATTACTATTACATGCATAAGCTACTTTTTACTCTTTTTAAACATAATTTGAATTATTTTTCTAAAATTATGGCATATTTTGATTTTAGTGTCTCTTATTTACATAATTTAATACTTCTGTATCTATCTCGATGTAAAAATTCACTGTGATTTTCTATATAGATAGAACTTCAGGAGAAAAATCTAAAAGAATTACATAAACTTATAACATTTGTAGTAGTATTTATTTATAGTCCTAGATAGAAATCATGCTTCAAAATATAAAGATATCTGTAATTTAAACAGATTTTCAAACAGTATGTTTAAAATAGTTTTCAAGCCTGGTAGGTTGGCTCAAACCTGGAATCCCAGCACTTTGGGAGGCTGAAGTGGTGGAATGGCTTGAGCTCAGGAGTTTGAGATCAGCCTGAGAAATATAGTGAGACCCTGTCTCTACAATTTTTTTTTTAGAAAAATTAACCAGGCACGGTGGCACCTGCATGTATTCCCTGCTTCTCAGGAGGCTGAGGCAAGAGGATTGCTTGAGCCCATGAGGTGGAGGCTGCAGTGAGCCACGATTACACTACTGCACTCCAGCCTAGGTGACAGAGTAAGATCCTATCTCAAAAAAAAAAAAAAAAATTAAGTAAAGTAGTTTTAAAAAGTATATTTATATTATCTGTAAAACCACTCATTTTCTCAGTGCTAAATTCATTATTAATTACATAATAATTTAGGAAAATCTTCATTTTATTTTTATAAGTTCTTTTCTGTATTAGCTTTAAACTTGTTCTATTTCTGAGTTAAATGTCCCTATATCATTCTTTAGGCAAAGAAAAAGATAGTAGTACAAATTATTTTATGGTCTCTCCTAGTTTTTATTGTTCTGTCAAAATATCAGGATAGGATTTTATGTTTATATTTAATCAAAGCTCCTAGCAAAACATAGAACACAGGTATTTAACTAGTGTATCAAATTCTAGATATACGTTAAATTTGGTACCATGAATTTGTTTTAGCACTGTGATAGATGGAAATTTTTTTAATGTTTTAGTCTGAGGGGGCAAGGATTTTAAAAATATTACATTATAGTGTCATGAATACAATTTTTGAAGAGACAAAATGTGCCTAAGTAATAGTGAGGAACAAGCAACTAATCTCTCTGTGTTTGTAAGAGTGATCTTCTTAGAGGAGATGGAACGTAAATAAGGTCGAAATAGGAGGTCACTGCCAAAATTACAGGAAGAAATGATCTAAAGTAGGGCCTTACTTTTGGAGTGTAAACTCTGAAGGGTAGAGTGGCAAGGTACATATTATTAAGTAACAAATAGTCAAATAGGAATTTTATTCCTACAAAAAATTGGTTTGAAATCAATAAAATTAAATCAAAATAGGTTACTAAAAATTCAACAAATTAATTTAAACTGATTAAAATATCTGTGCATCCTATTTACAGTGAATGTCAAAAAATTTATTAAAAGGTCACCATTTTATAAATTTTTAAAAACAATGAAAAAACTAAATTCTGAGGGATTATTTAAATTGTTGTTAACTATACAAGGACCTAACCATGCAAGGCAAAGCTTTTGTTCATTTGAGCTCTAGTGAAACCATCACTTTTTATTTCGATAAAACCAAGTTGTTTCAAAATCATATTGCTAAATTTCAGTGAAAGTATCAAAACTTCTTATAGGCATTTTTAATTGTATAAGGATTATTCTTTCATCATTCACGGTCAGCTATTAAATGAAAATAGGAAGAAATATGTTTTAAATGGGCAATAAAAGATTTTTATTGGCAATTTCATATTACATAGGAGGAATGATATTACTTTAAGAGTGAAGAGTTGAAATTATGAAATACAAGCTAATATGTTATAGAGCCTATTTTACTTAGCTAGAGCTAGTAAGAAATATGGTCAATTCAGGCATGTTTACTGCACTTTGCTTTACTCTGCTTTGCAGATACTGCATGGCTTTTTACAAACTGAAGGTTTGTGGCAACCCTAAGCCGAGCAAGTCTACAAACTGCTTTTTTTCAAAAGCATATGCTCACTTCATATCTTTGTCCCAATTCGGTATTTTTTCACAGTATTTCAAATGTTTTCATTGTTATATCTTTGATGATAATAACTGATCTTTGATGTTATTATTGTAACTTTTTTAGAGCACCACAACCACACCCACATAAGATGACAAACTTTAATCAATAAATGCTGTGTGTGTTCTGATGCTCCACCAACCACCCTTCCCTTGACACTTTCTTTCTCTCTCTCTCTCCTCCTTCAGCTTCCCTTATCTCTGCACACAATAATATTAAAATTATTAATAGTAACCACCCCACAATATCCTCTTAATGTTCAAATGAAATTGAGATTTGTAAATATTTCACTTTAAATGGAAAGCTGGAAATGATTCAGCTAAGTGAAGGAGGCATGTCAAAAGCCGAGTTAGGCTGAAAGCTGAGCCTCTTGCACCAGTTACTGAAGTTGAGAGTGCAAAGAAATGGTTCTTGCAGGAAATTAAGCAATAATTAAGCACAAATGATAAGAAAGAGCTCCAGCTTGAGTGGTCTGCAAGAAGCTCAAACCAGCCACATTCCCTTAGCCGAAACCTAATCCAGAGCAAGGCCGTAACTCCCTTCAATTCTAAAGAGGCAAAAAAGGTAAGGAAGCTGCAGAAGAAAAGTTCGAAGCTAGCAGAGATTGGATCATGAGATTTAAGAAAAAGGCTGTCTCCAAAACATAAAAATGCTAGGTGAAGCAGCCAATGCTGGTGTAGAAGCTACAAGAAGTTATACAGAAGATTTAGCTAAGATTATTGATGAAGGTGGCTACAGGAAAAAACAGATTTTCCATGTAGACAAAACAGGCTTATTTTGGATGAAGGTGCCATTTAGGGCTGTCATAGCTAGAAAGGAGGTGTCAATGTCTGGCTTCAAAACTTCAAATAATAGACTGACTTGCTTCTTAGGAACTAATGTAGCTGGTGACTTTAAGTGGAAGTCAATACTCATTTATCATTCCAAAAATCCTAGTGCCTTTAAGAATTATACTAAATCTACTCTGCCTATGATCTATAAATGAAACAAAAAGCCCATATGACAGCACATCTGTTTACAGCGTGATTTACTGAATATTTTAAGCCCACTGTTGAGACCTACTGCTTGGAGAAAAAAATATTTCTTCTCAACAATACCCTTAGTCACCTAAGACCTCTGATGGAGATATGCAGGAAGAACAACATCCATTCTGCAGCTGATGGATCAAGGAGTAATTTCCACTTTCAAGCCCTATATTTAAGAAATAAGTTTCATAAAACTTTAGCTTCCATAGATAGCTATTCCTTTGATAAATCTGGTCAAAGTAAATTGAAAACTTTCTGGAAAAGATTCACCACTCTAAATGCCATTAAGATAATTTGTGATTCATGAGAGGAAGTCAAAAGATCAACAGGAATTTGGAAACAGTTAGCAAGAGAAGCAGAATTAGACATAAAGCCTGAAGATGTGACTGAATTGCTGCAACTTATCATGATAAAACTTGAACAGATGAGAAGTTGCTTTTTTTTTTTTTTTTTTTTTCAGACAGAGTCTCGCTCTGTCACCAGGCTGGAGAGCAGTGGTGCGATCTCGGTTCATTGCAACCTCCTCCTCCCTGGTTCAAGCGGTTCTCCTGCCTCAACCTCCCGAGTAGCTGGGACTACAGGCACATACCACAAGCCCAACGAATTTTTGTATTTTTAGTAGAGACGGGGTTTCACCATGTTGGCCAGGATGGTCTTGATCTCTTGACCTTGTGATCCGCCCTCCTCGGCCTCCCAAAGTGCTGGAATTACAGGTGTGAGCCACTGTGCCCAGCCTGAGGAGTTGCTTCTTATACATGAGCAAACAAAGTGGTTTATGGAGATGGAAACTTTTCCAGATGGAGATGCTGTGAACCTTGTTGAAATGACAACAAAATTTTAGAATATTTTGTAAACTTAGCTATCAAAGCAGTGGTAGGGTTAGAGAGGATTGACTCCAGTTTCTAAAGAAGTTCTGCTGTGGGTAAAATGCTATCAAACATCATCACATACTGCAAAGAAATCATTAATGAAAGGTGGAGTCAATCAATGCGGCAAACTTCATCATTGCATTATTTTAAGAAATTGTCACAGCTACTCCAACCTTCAGCAACTACCATCCTAATCAGTCAGCAACCATCAACAAGACTTTCCAACAGCCAAAATATTATAACTTGATAAAGTATCACATGACCATAAGCATTTTTAGTAATAAAGTATTTCTAATTAAGGTTTGTACATTATTCTTTCAGATAATATAATGCTATCACATACTTGATAGACTACAGTATAGTGTAAGCATAACTTTTATATGCAGTGGGAAACCAACAAATTTGTGTGACATGCTTTTTTGTGATATATTCTTTATTGTGGTGATCTGGAACAAACATGTAATATCTCCAAGGTATGCCTGTAGTTCAACATTTGTAGTATTAAAGTACCATGAAAGAAAAATGCATAAAGTTTGATTAAATCATTTGCAGAATCAATCATTGGAAAATACTTTATAAAACCTTCAGTAATATAGACGAATAAGAGGATGCTTACAATATTTAATATGAATAAACATGTATTACTTATCACAGGGATATTGATAAGAAAAGGTCTATTTAATTATGCACATGTAAAGTAAGTTAGAGCACACACATTTGTATTAAGAGAGTGAAAATGGTTAATAATAACATATAATTACTTTAAGATAGATTCAAATTAGGCATAAATGGAAAGAAGTGAGATATTTTTCTATCTAATAAAAGTTGCTATAGGAACTGGAGTTAATTGGAAATACCACACAGGTTTCATGTTTTACACTATCTGGACATTTTAACAAATTTATATTTGCCATTGAAATATAAGGTTGTAAAAATCCAACATTTTTATTTGTACTCTGCTAAATAATGGACATAGAATACCACTTAGCCTGTTTAGAATACCACTTACTTTGCCTCTTTAGTTCCCCAGGTTTCATAGTTCTTCATTCCAGCAATCCGCATATTTGTCCTATTACCTCAGTTCTGTTTACTGTCACTACTGTATCTCATTTTTTCCTAATTGATGACTGATCTCTCCTAGAAA
This sequence comes from Homo sapiens, assembly GCF_000001405.40. NCBI lineage: Eukaryota > Metazoa > Chordata > Mammalia > Primates > Hominidae > Homo > Homo sapiens. Next base: position 85,200,522 of record NC_000003.12, on the reverse strand, counting down.
GCCCTTCATGATCACTGTATTCATATACTCAGTCCAAGTGAAGGGTACATCGTGTCCCTATTTCTAAACTTTTTTCACTGAATCAACTTTATCTCGCCACCAAACTGAGAACTCCAACTGTTAGCTTCACATACCAAGTTATCAGTATCTAAAAAATATTAGCTGTTCAAGATCTCACCGAATGAGTGGAAACGGTTTACCAGAAACAGTACCTTAATGGCCAAGGAAAGTCAAGGGAAAACACAGTTTTGTATATAAATTAATGACCGTATTGTGCCTTTCATACCCATAATCTATGTACCTTTCTTAAACCTGCAAGGAAGGTCATATTAACGTCTATATTAAATATGATAAACCTGAATTTTTAAGAAAGTAGAAACTTGCTTAAAACCACGTTTTCACTGAATTCACATAAGATAAGACTCCACATTGACTTTTACACTGCTTTCAGTTAACCCATGGAAGGGCATTTAGGACATAATAAAAAATATTCGTAAATGTAACATCGACTACATTCTTTTTTGTTAGCGTTTGCTAAACACTGATATATGCATTATGCAGTTTTAACTGCATAACCTGCCCACGAATTTCACAGATAAGATACAGTAAACTTTTCAATAAGCAGCTAAAAAATCACCTCTGTACAATGTCATTGATTCTTTCAGAGTCAGTTACATCTTTCTCCAAAATTTCAATGTGTTTATATTTTTAACTCGGACTTTTTAAGATTAATTATAATTATTTGACTACAGGTTTGTTTTCCCCACTTAATTATTATAGACTTGAAGTTAGAAATTTTATGAACTTCCTTATTTTATCCAAACAATTAAATCTGTGCATTACTATATTAATTCAGAAAACACTTAGTGGTTCAATGCTCAATACTTCCATTACATATACTAGAGATTTATAAATTCAATTTGCCTGCATTCAAGAAACATTTGCCATCAACATGTACAATGCTAGGCTGTGAGGTGAACATGTGAATGAAAAGTTATATTTACTTTTAAAGGTTTGTAAACTTTGTAAGTTTAACTAAAAAAAAAAAATTTTGAAATTACTAATGAAAATTATTTTCTCTGTTTTTGTTTGTCAGCTTTTGTCTATTCCTTTTTCTCTGCCTATTTGGGCTTCTCTCTCTCTCTCTCTCTCATACACACACACACACACACACACACACACACACACAAAGAGAGTTACATCAGAAGACATTCTCTGCTCCTTCTCCATCCCACATTGATAATCCATTGTGAGAAATTCATAAATAATAATTCAGACATATTAAAATGAATACAAATAGCTATTCTCACCAATTGCTCATGTAGATCACATGATATTTTATGCACAGTACAGTGCATATTAAAAATGTCATAAGGTAAAACAAATGTAGTTTGTATTAATAAATGTAAGACAACATGAATCATAAAGGACAATGTATTGTAAGGGATCAGTAAAGATCAAATGATGGAAAATCTAATAGAAGTTAAATTTATAAATAGCTGCCTTCCTGCAGCGGAGGAAAAATAAGCACATACCAATTAGAGAGGAGTGAAGACAACATTTAATTCAAATATGGAGAAATAAATGAACTTGTTTCAATGCAGTCCAGAACAATAAGAGACTGAATACATTTAAGGGAGAACTTACTATAATTATTTGGTATTCTAAGTCTTTAATATGGAAATACACCATTTTTAACATAAATTGTTAATTATAAAAAAACTGGAGACATAACAATTACAACTGAAAGAATGTAGAAGGGACAACTTAACACCAATTATGCTATTCACAAATTACAGAAATGATTAATGCCTAATATTGTTAGCTAAATATATGTATGCACATTTGATAAAATAATGAGTTAAAATTAAAATGTATACCATAAATTAATTATTTTTGAAGAAACTGAAACTACAATATCACCTTTGAAGATAAGTGACTATTCCTGCTTGTAGTTTATCATATAAAGTTAGCCAAGAGAAACTGCTTCTGTGGTTTCTGCCTGAATTAGCATATAATATTTATTGAAGAGCATTGTTGCAACTAAAAAAAAAACATGCTATTAACATCGTGGTGAGACCAACATAAGAAAGGTAAAATGGGTTGTAAACAGTGAAAAAAAAAAAGATATAGGACCATGTAAGTGAATATAATCAAAAGAAATAAAGAACACATCTCCCCTGCAGCTGTACCAAAGGACATTCTAATATTGCTAAAAATTATATATGAATAATTATTTTGAAAATGTGAACTGATAACTAGATTACAGATGTTTACATGGAAATGCTAGGGTATTTTAGAATATCATTGCTTCTCTAACTACTGGAAGAGAATGCTAATTATAAAATTATAATTCTGTTAATTAGGCCAATTTGTTTCAATACATGTGTACTAGTATAACTATGTTAAAGACACTATACTAATATTTTAAAAGATAAATATAAAAAAGAAGCAGAGTTAAATAAACCATATTATTAGCTTCACTGGGTAACTAAATAGGGCAAGCTAGGATATCAGTGAAATATTAACCGAAGTAAGCAGTGATGAGAATTTATGGGAAAACCTTTGTGATCAGCAAAACAACCTGACTTGAAGACAAAAGACTTCATATGAATGATGAATCCATGACCTGCTTCAAGCAACAAGAGGCCCTTCAGACACTACAAACCATTCCCTGGACAAGTTACGCTTTTAATTATATACGTACTCCTAAGAGGCACATGTAAAACAAGTAAAAATACAAGCAGCATCATGATAAGAAATAAACATCATGACATTTGAACAACATAACATCAGAGTTAGATAATTCTCCTGTGCTGACTTGTGCGATTTACATTGGGTATATTAAATCCCCCAAATGGAAGAGTCCCTAAACAACACTTGTCCAACTTCAGTGTCTAAATGAACTAGAGGAACTAGCACAGTAGAGTTAAACATCTAGTTTGGAGTGTCAATTAACTATCTGTATGGTTTTAGAAAAGCAACCTAACTTCTTCAAGCTTCTGCTTCTTCATCTGTAAAATGGAGCCAATCCACAGGCACGGGATATCTCAGATAGTGTATTTCTCTTGCTTACTCTTATTACCTTAGTATTAGACAGAGTGGCACAAAGTATGCACAAAATCAATGTTTGTTGAAAAAATAAAGTGTATAAAATTTCTAATACATTTTCTTTCACTTTGGAAACTATGTAGTGAGGTTACCCTGTTAAGCCTCCATTAACACATAGAATTGATCACAACTGTGTTTATAAAATTATGTAGGATGTGTTTTTTTTTCTCTACCTCTAACTAGAAATAAGTCCATAAGGGCAAAATTCATGTCCATTTTGTTCAATAACTCAATAAATTTATCCTCAATTTATAAAATAGGCACAATACATTTGATTCTTCCTTCTTCAATATTACAAAACAAACAAATAATTGTTACCAGGTTATTAGGTGTCTAAAGGTTTCTGTAAGTGGTAACTGATAATGGTTGTCCTAAAACGTAGCAAAGGTTTTCCCTAGGCCAATTAAGATTTCCTTCTATAATAAAATTCACAAAATAATGCTTTACCATATATACTTTGCTTTTCCATTTATGTTCTAATTTGAGTAATTTATTCATCAACAAAGAAGTAACTGATTTCTACCAGGGAATTGAAGCAAGATGGTCTTTGTCTACCATTATGGTCACCACTTAGCAGGAAATGGAGTCATTTGATTCTCCTAAAAACTTGTGATACAATTAGGATGGTTATTTTTAGCTGCAATGTATGGATTAGTGAACAAAAATATAGAGATGTTTAAATGACTTTTCCCAGATGCAATTTCTTCTAAGAATAGTGTTGTTTTCACACAATGAGTTTTCCTGTGGATTCTCATGTCCATCATCATGCAAAACAAGCCTTCATGTACTTCAAAACAGAAATCAAGACTCTGCTTTATCTTTTCTAGAATAAATCAATCAATTATTTAAAACCTATAAACCTCTTTATAACTTTTCCATGTCCTCCTAGCTTTGGGAAATAATTATTAAAATTTAACTACTCTCCTGATGAGTCATAATTTTAAAATAGTATCATCTTATAAATTATAACAAGGTAGGCATTTGATTATACTTCAGGATGTAACTCATAACAAACTGATGGAAGAGATCCTAGAAAACAGTAGTCATTGCCTCTTTAAGATCTGAATATATTCCACAAGCTACCAGAAAGCTACAATTTATTTTTATTTTTGTTAACACAAAATAAAACCTTGTACAGTCAATTCATGAAGCCACCTCATAAATTTGACACTAATTTTAAATTATGATTAATAATAACATGTTTAAAATGAAGGCAAATTGTCATAAGACGAGCTGGAGGTAGAAAAAAGTTTGGCAATTCAAACTCTCCAGCACATTTACCAATCTGAATATTCAACAATTGAAAATCACTAATACTAAGTAAACCAGCTGCTGGGGACACTCTAACCCAGCATAAAGATTTTCCATGTGCATAATTGTCAGACTCAGATTAAATTTTTATCCAGGAAAGAGTAGTATTCAAGATGACTTGGGTAAATTGTCTGATTAATTTTGTAAACAAAAATAAAATAACTTTATTCCTCACTGTATTTCAAATATTGCAATAGCTCTGTTTAAAATGACAACTGTTTCATTATATCTAGATAATATTTCATTTTCCATTGCATTTTATCAATTAATAAATAAAACACTATTTTAGGTGAGGAAATGATACTTAGCCCTTTTATTTTACATACCTTTTGGAAAAAATCTGAATAGAAAATTGCAAGCATAAAAGAAACTTTCTATAAACTTTGGAGTTTTAGGCACATACTTGTCACTCAGCTTTTTAACACATGTATGTAAATTTATAGCCTACTTTGTTGCAGACTTCAAGCTCAAATTTTATAACTAGATATTGTGGCTCTACTGACATTTTTTGAATCAATTACAAAATGTGTGTGTGTGTGTGTGTGTGTGTGTGTGTGTCTTGCTGGTTTTCATGGTTTACACATATTGTCAAAATATATATTTTTATTATGAAATAACTGTCTCAGAGTCTCACAGGTGAGGTCATAGCTTACATGGGAGACACAGAGGTTTCATAGTACCCAGGTTTTACCTGATGGGACTCAAGAGAGCCTCTGGCATTCCTTAAAACTGCTCATAGATATGGTGTACAAAGACCCAGAAAGATAGAAAACGCAATTTTGACTAATGAGAGGCAGGAGACTTGAAAAAGCCAATACATAGTTTTTTAACTGGACTCTACAGAAATTAAATAACTTATATAACATCACTTAGTCAAACAATTCAACTACAATTTAAATTCCAAGTCTTACTATAAAAGTAATGCTTTCTCAATACATCATGTTGCCTCTTGACATGTTTTGGGCATGAACCCTTGTATATATGCAAGACTTTGAGTACTTTTGCCACTAAATCCATATTTCAGTAGATTTTAAACTGCTTCTCAAAGTTCAGGTTTCGTCAGGACCACTAATTGGACCGGTTAAAAATGCAGAGCCAGGCACAATAGCATGCACCTGTAGTCTTAGCCACTCAGGAGGCTGAGGCAGGAGGATTGCTTTAGCCCAGGAGTTCATTTTTTTTTAAACAAAAATACAGAATCTGGAACTACTTCTATTTCAAGATTTTTTTTTAATATTTGTTGATTCTAATGCAGGTAGTCCTCAAGTTGAACTTGGAAAAACTGTAATATTATGCATCCTGGAATAATGGGATCACGACACTTCTTAATCTATGTAAGAATGCTGCTGAGAAAACTGTAATTCCTGGGTAGCAAGTATGGTGGTTCTAATGGATGAGGATTCTAAAGTCCCCATAACAATAATAGATTTCTTTCTGCCACAGATTCTATGACCTAGATTCTTATTTATCTTCCCTCTGCCTCCTCATTTTTTAGCCTTATTTCTATTCTTTATTCACGTCTTTCCTTCATTCACACTCTAGTGAAATATAGGCATTTTCTAGATCTCCATCATTAGAAATAAATTCTCTTTTCTTAGATTTTCAAGATTGCCACCATCATCACAACTGTTCTAACAAGCATTTCTTGGTCTGTTTGGTCTGCCCAAGTTAATCACCTCCTGCCAGTCCACCATTTTTTCTTTGCTAAATGAATTATGATCATGTCACCCTCCTATATAAAACTTCTCATTAGTTTCCCAATGTTTTAAGACATACTCAGTAGTCTACGCTGTTCAACAAAGCTCTACGGTTTCTATTCCTTCTCTTGAGCCTTGTCTTGCAACATCCTGCCCCACACTCTCTCTGGTCCAGAATAATTGAACTTTTTAAAGACCCTCTTACCTAGCGCACTTACATATGCAACAAAACTTTGCAAAAGCGCTTCCTTCTCCCACAACCCCTGCTTTATGAAAACCACTCTTCTCTTCTTTCACCAACATATCCTCCAGATTTTAGTTCATAAACTACTTCTTTAGGAAGGCTTCTCTGACTTCCCTGCCTGGGTAAAATCCCTGTTATACAAACCACTTGGCAACACTTTTGCAACTGCCACTTTATATTTTGACATAATTATTTGATTATCATCAGTCTCCCCACAAATGGACTTTAAATTAAACAGGGTCAGACCATGTCCGCACGACAGCATTGGCTCTCCTTGAGCCCTCCTAGGTAGCATTTGGCATGTTTTAGGTTTTCAGTTCATACATTTGTTGAATGCATGAAACATTAAAAGATCCTTTATGTCACTAGGGAGTTAGGAATTACATTGTGGACAATAGAGGGAGACATTTTGTAAGCTAGGGCCCAATATGATCAAATCTGCAATGCAGAAAGAAGCTTCATAGCAATTAGAGATCACATTGGAGTGAGGAGTGACTGTAAAAACCTAGGGTAGGAAAAGTGAGACCCTCTATCCATTGCTAACTTTTTTTGTCTGGAAAGCAGCAATGGATAGAGGGTGAGGAGTGAGGATCCTAGTATTTGAATAAAATGTGGGCATAATGTGAATCACTGATAAATTGTTGTATATGCAGGAATTAGAATGAGACTATCAGGAAAATCTATCACATAAAGAGAGCAGATTTTAGATAAATTATAAACTCATTGTTGAAAATTATGAGTTATCCATGAAAAGCTTTTACAATTTTTTAGATAGATCTGCTAAATTTTTTAAGATTTTTTAGATAGATTTTTAGATACAAATTTTTTAGATAGACTCCTTAAAGTCTATCATCATCAGCATAAAGACACACATAAAGACCAGAGAAAATGATCTATCATATCCTTGATATCATTCTTTCTAGCTATCCAGTTAAAAATGAAGTCAGACAACTAATTTACAAAGTCCTATGAATCTTTCAGAAAATGTCTCATATATCCCATATATACCCTATATTTTAATACTTTTCTGTCATATCAAGACTTCCTACTTGGAAATGTAGTCACACTTCTTCTTTATTTATACCATTGTGATTTCTGGAACTTCAGACATTCATTACTTTAGGCTTAAAAAGCCAAAGCATCTCCCTTTCTGGATAGCTTCTGCATCTCTTAAATCTCCTGCCTATAATCCATCATTTATACTTGCATCATTTATATTTCCAGAAGAATCTCCTTAAATGCTGTTTTAATCTTAAAAGAATCTGTAATATTTCTCTATTGTCTTGATCACCTTGGTCAAATTTGGACTTTTTAAGGCCCTTGTAAATATACCCATCTTATTTCTCTGTTATCTAACATTAACCCTGTAGTAAGTTAAATCTTGTAGTTACACCTTTTCTCTTGCTCCATGTCAGTCTGGTACTTTAAGTAGCAAGATAAAAATCATACTTCCCACCTCCCGCACAAATCTTTCCAATTTTTCCCATTTCACATTGATCTTCATTTTTATGGATTTTTTATAGGTTACTATTTTTAAACTTTATATATATATATATATATGAATTCATATATATGTGTGTGTATATGTACATATATATATATTCACTTTTAAGACTTTTTTGGGGTTCCTTCCTACTTCTCCACTTCTTGGTATCTCACCGGGTATGGCTCAAGGCACTTAGCACATGGCAGGTGTTCAGTAAGCTGTCTTTGCAATGGCTAAGGAAAGATGAGCTCTTGTGAACATCTAAGAGAACAATTTTTTAAAAATAAGGTCTAGAATATATGTCTTTATCTTAATGTCAACATGACATACAGAAATCCACTACTGAGCTAAAGAGAAAGATGAGTGCTGTGTTTACCAAATAATTGAATTCTAAGACTTTTATTTAAATGTTGAGGAAGAAGCATTAGAATCTTCCAGTAAAGAGCTGCTTCATATCTTGAAAATTAAATTTTGTGTGTCCTAATTACACCATTTAGTACACCATAAAGTTGATTTGACAGGCCCCTAATCTCTATGCTTCTTTCTAGACAATTTGATGTCTTTTTTTTTTACTATGAATGATTTATTATAAGTTGTCAATAAATATATCATTTTACAGGTAAAATTTTATTTCATTTGAACAACTGAGTTTATGAGACATTGTCCAACAGAGTTGGATTGAGCTTTGTGTGGTTAAAAAAATACACACACACACACACACACACACAACTGTTTCATCTTATTACTCTCTATTCAGAGGCAGTTCTACAAGATGAGGTTGCTGACCCTACATGTGGAAGCCTTCTGAAAACTACAGGCTTTGAATTAGTTTAGAATAAACACCTCCAGAAATTAACAAAACATTGTATCTGATGACTGGTATTTGAACAAATTAGATCATCATTGCCTATCAGGGTTCTGAATTCAGGGATGATTTGTGCCCCAGCTGTCAGATGGAACATTAATACACTCACTTATTCCTTTGTTTATGTATTTGACAACTATTTGGATGTATAGTGGATCCCCTTCTCTGATGGTGTTTATAATTAGAGCTGCTGGTTTACATTAGACACTGTGACTGCAGTCAAACCGTCATCTATTTGGAGCCAAACTTGCTGACAGGTTCACAATCCCAACTTTGAGTAAATTATGTAATTTATTAGTGTCCCAATTTTTTTCATCTAAAAGTGGGGATTATAACAAATGTTTGTCAAAGCATTGTACTGAAGACTAAATATTAATATTAGTAAAACCTTTAAAAATTTCTCTGACATATGGTAAATGTTAATAAACGTTTCCTACAGTTATATTTAATTTACTATATCATATGATTATTATAAGCAATATATATTTGTTATAAAAGTGAGTTCCTTACTGTTGATGACTCAAAAATAAGTTATGATTTTTCTAATGGTATATGAATAAATGAAAATGGATAAAGAATGAAACTTTGAATTCAGTTATATTTAAATAAAATAGTAAGGAAGGAGGGAATAGTTAGGAGGATGTAACTTTATATTGCTATTAATTTTCCAAAGATAATTATTAGCTACCTGGCCTACATCTGTACTAAAGACTTCTATTTATTTAATATATTTTGCCAACAGAATATCATTCATCTATGCTAATTACAAAGCAAAATGAACTACACCCATTCCTTTTTTAAAATAAAATACTGAAATAAAAAAGTTGCTATACATTATACCTCTTTACATATCTGTATTTTGATTCTTTTCTAAAGATCAAATTAAATGAACACTAGGGATTTTACATGTACTTCACTAATTAATTGTCTCAGTTACCAATCTCATTGCATTTATTAAGAAAACTTTATGAGAACAATAAATCCTAGTTCATCAAGGGAAATTAAAACTTATGAACTCGGTAAGAAAGTATAATCACTACATTCTACAAGTTGAGGACAGCAGCACATAGGAGGGCATGTTCCCTTATTGCATTCAGAGATTCGGATTGATGTACATTAATTTGCTTAATATTATTCTACTGCTCCTTATTATCTGTCACCTCTAAAAGGGTCCTGCTCAAAATTATCGCCTTTCTTTTAAATCTCAGCAAATATTGATTTTGTGTGAGTTTGGGGAATAATATAATGTCATAGGCAAATTTTACTGAATAATTTCCTTAATTCATTTTAAATCCAACCACAACACAGCCATAGAGTTTCATAACACTATACTTCTCATATGGCCAAGAGTACCAATTTCAGCAAACAAAGGAATGTACCTACTAACTCTCATTTAAGATGAATGAGAAAGTGTGGTTATAAAACTTTCAGAATATGAAAAAAAGATGTGATGAAGAGAAGACCAAAATATGATTATTAAGGGGGGAATGACATAGCCACAAAAAGGAGAGAAGAAAAATACGTTCTAGGTTTAGAAGTGAACAAGCACATCCTATTGAAAACTGGTGGCATGGGGGCAAGTATCCTCTGAAATGATCCCCAGTGATTCTAGACTCTGAGGATTCCAAGATTTTTGTAATCCCCTCATTTTTTGAGTGTGGTCTAGACCTAGGATATTGTTTCTAAAGATCAGAATATGTCAAAATAACAGATTTCATTTCGGAGATTAGGTTATGAAAGGCTGGATTTTGTCTTGCTCTCCCTCACTGGGTGTCTGTCTCACTCTGTTGCTCCTGAGGGAAAACAGTGCTAGGTTCATCCATGCAGACACTAAAAAAAAAAAAAAAAAAAAAAAAAATGAGGGAGACCAGCTACCTTGTGTAAGCTGCTTATGGAGACTCTTACATGGAAAGGAACTGATACTGATAATATCTCCGGACAACAGCCATCAAGGTCCTGATGCTTTCCAACAGCCATTTGAGTGAGCGTGTAAGTAGATCTTTCTTCAGTTAAGCTGAGATGGTAGTAACCCCACTATATCCCCTGGTTACAACTTCATGGTAGCCTCTTAGCTGGAGGTCCCCCCTAAAGAATGCCTTGATTCATGACTCACAGAATTATCAAATAAGAAAAGTTAATTGTTTAAAATCAGCCATCATTTACTCAATTTATCTCAAATTTATTGTATCTTGGCGTAACAGTACATTTTCTGTTAAAATACTAAGCTTCTGGAGGACAGGCAAAGTAATGCCTACAAAGTTGTTTTACATCATTTGTTTCAGAACCTAAATGTATATACATTATTCAACATATTCTCTTTATGGGTTCAAAAATAAGATTTTCTATCAAAATGAGCTGCTGATTTAAAATTCAGTTACCTACATAATTGCCTCAAATCCCTGGTTCACTTTAGCTTTGGATTATTGGGTATGAAAAATTATTTATTCAAGGTTCAAGATCCTTCTCTTTGTCACTTAAAAAAAAAACTTGCAACTTCAACTCCTGGAATGGAAAATTGATAACAAATCCTCTGTAATCTGTCAGAGAAAAACATCTTCCTTTCAAATCACAAGAAATCAAAAGCATGAAATATATCCTACATGGCTCCACTTACAGCTAATTCTTTAAATTGTGATTAGTTTGAATATATATAATATTAATAGCTTACTTTCTGTATCAACAGATGCAAACTTCAGAACCTTCGTCTATTTGCTCGCTATTTATTTATTTATTTATTTATTTATTTTATTTATTTATTATTACTATTATTATTTTTTTGAGACGGAGTCACAATCTGTTGCCCAGGCTGGAGTTCAGTGGCGCAATCTCGGCTCACTGCAAGCTCCTCCTCCCAGGTTCACGCCATTCGCCTGCCTCAGCCTCCCGAGTAGCTGGGACTACAAGTGCCCGCCACCACGCCTGGCTAATTTTTTGTATTTTTAGTAGAGACGGGGTTTCACCGTGTTAGCCAGGATGGTCTCGATCTCCTGACCTCGTGATCCGCCCACCTCAGCCTCCCAAAGTGCTGGGATTACAGGTGTGAGCCACTGCGCCTGGCCTGCTCTTCATTTTTAAAGTACTTAGTTAAATGATATAATATCAAGGGATTTTCACGCTTAGAAAAAGAGAGATAATGAAATGTAATCCTACAATAATATTCCTGTTCAAACTAGGTTATACTGATTGACACCCACAGGATATTTTTATGAACATATAAATATGAAAAAAAACAACTTGAATTCTATATATTATGAAATATGAAATGTTGAATCATGCAAACTATATATCAATAGAATAAATTGCTATATTTATAAAAATAATTACTAGGCAGAAAATATACTGAGCAAATACAGAAATAATTATAGACATTGTAATTATCATTCTGAATTTTGTGTCAAATACTTTTTGAGTACCTACATGGGAACAAGAGCCCACTATTGGAAATAATAGGCTCATTTGATAGAAACATAGCATTTTTTGGTCACATATACACACTTCTGAAAAGGCTTATCTTGTATCTTTCAAATGGTTTGTGTATAAACATAGCACTAAAATAAAAATAAGAATGCATAAGCTGTCAAAATATGACAGCATATAAAAGTTATGCTGAAAACATTTTAAAATCACATGTATTCCATAGGCTTCTATCACCGAAATTAAATCATATCCAATGAAAATTACAATTAGCAATTAAGGTTATTACCTAAATTATTTAACATATAAGTTAATATTTCTAGCATTACACTGAAAATATTGACTCTAGAAATATTAATTTATATGTTAAATAATTTAGATAATAACTTTCATTGTTAATTGTGAGAATCTAAGATAGCATCAACTGTAACTTACATTATAATTTTATTGACTTATAAGAAAAGATGAAAACACTCCTAATTAAATTCTGATACATCAAGGACTTCACAAGATACTTCACAAATTCAGGTATGTTGAAATTTGAAAAAAAAGTATTTGTTATTACAATAAAATATAGTAAGTACCTTATATGTTTATACAAAATACCCTAAGAAACTCTCAAAGTCTACAGAGAATTGAAGAAAAAGTGCCTTTTTTAAAGACAAGAGTTTCTATTTATGTACTTGTAAAAATCCACGTTGACATTTAATAAACAATAATTATACTTTAAATTTTGATATTACTCATGCAAGAAAATAATCTCTTTATAGAATTGCCAATTGCAATTTACCTTGGCTCTTTCAGGCCAGAGGAGGTTCATAAACCAGCAAGTTGGGAATTTACTAAATGATAAAGAAACAAAATGACAAGTGAATAATATCATCTAATATTTTCTCTCAAATAGAGTTACATATAGTTTTATTGTTTAGTATAGCCATTTAAAAAAAACTTATGAGGAGATGTTTCTTTTTGTATCTGAGTTGATATTATTCAGAGGACTCGCAAGAATATAAAACATGTTTGGAAAAAATCATTAATATTATATTGTTTTAAACTTTCAATGTATAGAGATTCAAAATATTGAGAAATCATTAAAATAATATCAATTTTAATACATGTCAGAGGCCAAAAGAATATAGACATGATAGAATATTTTCTCTCAGCTTCCAAAACCATGCAATTGCACTGTGCTGTCAAAGAGAGGCTACCCATTTTTAGAAGATTAATTGGGTTTGGGCTCTATCTGTGTGATATTGAACAATGTAAATCCTCTGCATACCAATTTCCTTAACTGTGAAATGTACATTCTATACACACTGGTTTATTTCAGAATTAAATAATATATGTAATGACCCCAGTCCAGTGCCTGAGGTATAATTGTTGTCCACTGTAAAAAGAACTTGCATTATTTTACAAAGGCATACAGAAAAACCTCATGGTTTAATCACTCAGGAAATATTAACGACAGCATTTGGCTACTTTTTCAAAGCATATTAAAGCAAAGGAATCTCACCTTTCTTAAATATACCCTTACAGAAATTACCTGTTCTTTTTAGATCTGTATTATACACTTACAACTAACTGGAAGTATATACATGTAATTTATTAGTTAGCATTGGTAAGATTGCTCAATCAGGAGCAATTTTGTCCCTCTGGGCTCATGGTAACCTCTGGAGACGTTTCCGATTGTCAAGACTGGGAGAGACTACTATTGTATCTAGTGTGTATAGGCCAGGGATGGTGTTAAACATCCTAAGATGCAGACTACAGCTCTCAAAAGAAGGAAATATCCAGCTCAAAATTTCAATTGTGCTATATTTTAGAAGCACTGCCCTGTGTATTTCAGTATAATGTTTATTTCTTTATACCACATAAAGGTATAAATTATAATGAGTATAACAAAAGAAACATGCCTGAAAAGGTTAAAATGTATCTACAAGTTTTTCTTACTAGGAAAAAAATATGAAATACTTTACAAAAATAAGAAAAAGCCTGCTTGTGTCATTGTGTTATTGGCTTGTTAGTGCTTGGGTTTTAGATTATGTGGCATTTAGGTTTTTGTTCAAAATTGAGTTTTTGACCAAGAGCACCATTTCACTATTGTGCTGGAAGGCAATTACAGACTTTTTCCTGGATGCCCAAGGCTTGATAATTTCAGAGGAATTTGTCTCATTTCCCACCCTGAAAGGCAAGAAAAGAAAATAACGTTCATAATGGACTTAAGGATCTACTATGTGTCAGGAACTGTTGTCTCCGTTCTAGTTTAAAAATATACTTTTTAAAAAACAATCTAAATTTCCAGCAACTACAGTCTCCTGAACAGTATTCAAATACTTGTGCTATATCAAGTTCCGTGCTGAGGCCTGCTGCCTTACCATGGCAGGACCTTTCACCTGCCTGGCACTCTAATGCTAGATAGATCAAGCTAAATTGCCATAATATCTCCTTCGAAAAGCTCTAGAATTTCTTTTGCGGTTGAAGAATAATCAATTACTTACCCAATTCAATTCAACAAATATTTATTAAGTATTCACTCATTCTTGTATTTTCTCCCCTTGTGGGCTGCTATCCTTAAGAGCAGCTGAAGAAGCAAAATGACTCCCGTTTATTAAAGACTTTTATTTTAAAGGTCCTTAAGTGCAGTTCACAGCTCTTCAATTGCTCTTAACCAAATCCTCAGAGGCTCCATTGTAGAGGAAATTCATGCTCCATCATACAGAATCAAGAATAATGTGTTCTCTTTTCATCTTGTCAAGAAAATATCAGCATGATAACCAGGGAAGGAATGTGTGAAGTAGACATGGTGGGGTGGCATGGTGTGTCTAAAGGTAAGTCATTATTCTTACTACTATGAATAAGCTTATATATCATACTATGATAAATAATGTGGACTTAACTTTCAAAATGCTACATATAAGTGCTTATGCTGCATATGATATGGGAAAAAGAACATATTTTGTTTATTACATTTTATTCACTCCTGCTTTAGATAATACAAAAGGCTGCTAAATGTTTTGGGAAACATATGTTCCTATTTCCAATAAGGACCATCATTTTTTTTTTTCATTTTTTGTTTCCCAAGGAACAGAAAGAGTAGTTAGATGCCAATCTTGAAATAAATATTCGTTATTTGGATCAATATATAGATGATTCCTTCCAAGAACATTAGTCATAGTGCTGCTGGGAACTGTCTCCAGATTTATCCCAGCCAAAAAAAGATAGGGCATCTTCTACAGAGAAGCCTTGTGGGTTCTATTTTTCCTATCTTGGGACTCAGAAGAGTGCTGCAATATATTGTCTCAGAAATGTCAAAAATAATACCCTATCTGTCATCTATCTTGGAGCTAGGGTTACATTTCTCTTATAGGGACCTTATTGCATTAGCACTTTGTAAGGATGTTTCAAAGTACTGATTATGTCTGTACTACTGAGTATTCCACAAAGGCAGCTGCTTTGCCTTAATTTAAAGCAAAGCCCAACATAATATTCAAGGCAATGCAAAGTTTTGAAGAGAGTTTATCCCCCTAACAGTGAAGAACTAAGGTCTAGGATATTTATCTTGACAAATTCTATTTTCTAGACTCTTCACTAATGCAAAAATTAGAATTTCTTACTATCACAAGCAATGCACTCCTATCTATACAATAAGCTTCATTTTCTACAGCATGATGTTAAGTTATTCCTAATCTGATTCAGCTAACTTATTTAGGTGTTTATCTCTCATGAGTGCTTATGAGGAATATTGTTTTCAGAGCAAGGTCTACTTTACCCTACATTCCTTATCGACATGTCTCAAATTCCTTTTAAAATATATTTTCCTAAGGAAAGAGAGCATGTCTTGTTCATTTTAGCATCACATATAATGCCTATGACTATAATTTGCACATAGTAGAAATTCAGCAAATGTTTAAAGAACTAAAAATAATAAGCAGAGTAATATTTTTAAAGTTGCATATTTTCATTTCAAAAAGGAAAAAAAATGCAATAAGTATTAGGTCATTTCTCAGCCCTAGAAGATAATCAGAAGTTACAGAAATGCTGGTGTTAGGACAATTGTTCTTTTCTGCATTGTCCCACTTACCAAAAGAGTTGCCTACTTCTGCAGTTCTTTGCAAACCACCACTGGCTTCTTAACCATTAGGAAACACACTCACAAATCTACTGAATCTGTTGTATCAAAGGTCACATAATCTCTCAATCAAAAAATCAATTTTTTTTCATTTATTATCTTTGTCAACTTCCATGCTGTGTTTGCCTCTCACACATACATCTTAACTACTCTCATTTCTTGGCTTCTGTGACATCTTACTTTCCCAACTCACTTCTTAACTCCTTGATCACCTGCTTACAGTTTTCTGGACATCTTGTCATTCAAACACCTAATGATCTAACCATTTTTATTCTTGTTCATGTCATTTTGCTATATAACTCAATATTTTAACTTATCTCTTATTTTATGAATAAATGGCAAAGCCTTTACTTTTTCTAAAATTCTGATCCCACTGAGTTAATGCTTATTAAATTAATTGCATTGAGTTGCATCATTCTCTTACATTATCATCCCTGTCACAATAGTAAGACAAATACTCCATTCCTTATTCTGGAGCTATGTTCTACAAATTCGCCTTGCATTATAGACTTTGCAATCTTCAAGTCTTTAATGAGTATTAATACTTCATAGGTCAGTATTGTTCCTTTCATAATGTGCTGGATAGCTCAACTTTGTATGGAATAGTAAGATTTATGAAGAGATTGGTTACTTCAAATCTAAACATATACAAAATCACGATGAAATCAAATAGCTGTCTCAGCAGAAAGAGCGTTCTGAAGGCACTGGTGGGATGGGGTTAATCAGCAGGTTAGAAAGTGTCTCAGGCTTAGAAATTACTGTGCAACTGGCTCCTCTCAGCACTCAGCTACATAATACATTGAAATGGAACATATTGCGTGTTTTTTTTCTTTGTGAATTCCTTAAATAAATGTGTTAAATTTATTATCTTTTCATGCTTTCTTATAGGATAATATTTCAGGATCACAATTACAAATAAGAACAACAGAATGTATTGCAAAATGTGTTCTATTTTTATCTTTGCTGGCATTAACAATCAACTACAGCATTCATTTTTATAAGTGAATTTTTGTGGAAAATAAAACTGCATTCATTGTGCAGTAAATGAATCTCAGATGCATAACCATACTTGACAGATTTTAGCCTCTAATGCCTTAATCCTACTTTAACATCACTGATGCAATCTCTGAAAAGCTTAGTATTAATTTGAGAGTATCATTTTATTTACATCATCTGGAAAGGAGATTCAGAGGGCATCTTGTGTAAATTGCAATTATGCATAGCATACTTTTTAGAGCTATCTTCATGTAATATTTTACATAATTGAATTGTATTCACTTGATTTTTTGCATAGCAATAAATGATACAGTCTAAACATAAGACACTAAAATTAAAATAAAACAACTTGAATTCTAAAGAGCAACGTAATACTTGCAAGTGTTATCAGGGATAGGTTAATACTTCACTGCAGATTAAAAATGAGAATTTTACAAGAAAAAATATACAGAGAATTGGAAATTTAAAAGCACTTTAGACAAGCACAATAAGACAACTGATAATTTTAATTCATAATCCTTAAAATGTTTTATTTTGAAATAATTTTGGATTTACAAGAGACATGCAACCGTATATAGGGTTCTATAAACTATTCACCCAGTTTCCCCGATGTTAGCTTTTTACATAATGATAGTATGTTTATCAAAATTAAATTTTATATTCCTCCGTCCAAGCTAACATACAATGTTACATCTAGTTACCTCATCTCCTTAGTCTCTTCTAATCTGTGATTCCTTGTCATCAACACTTTTGAAGGTACATAGTAGAATGTCCCTCAATTTGGGATTGTCTGATGTTTCTCACGATCAAGAATTGTAGATTTTAGTAAAGACTACCACAAGGTGAAATTCCTTTTTTATCATAGCATATCTCATTATATTATGGGGTACAAGATGCCAACATGGTATTACTGGTTAAATTGGATGATTTAGTTAAGGTAGACTCTTCCAGGTTTCTGAAATGTAAATTTATTATCCCTTTCCAGATTCTATAAGAAGTGAGCCACTAATTTCAGCCCTCACTGAAGATGAGAGGGATTAAGCTCCTCCCCCTGGAGAAGGTAGTATGTTAAATTGTGGATGTATGTTAAAAGCACCACTGTAATTAATATTTTAAGGAGGATACTTGAAGTTATGCATATATCGTGTTTCTATTTATAGATTTGCCACTAATTTTGCATTCAATTTAGAAGATGCAATGTAACTTTAATGTCCTAGGAATATTGATAAATGTATATTTGAATATGCATAATTTATATGTATAAAGATATATGTGATTTAATATATAAAATATTATTCAATATAAATTATAATATATTAAAAGAATATATATCTTCTTTCAATTCTTCTTTTAGTCATATCGATTTATATCACCATCATTATCTTTACAATTCTTACACGGTAAATTAAGGGCAATGTTTTTTTAAAAAGTATATTTAAAAAGTATTAAAACTATATATAATATATAGAGAGAGATATATAACAATAAGGTATAATAAGGGAAATTATTGTTAAATAAATCAATGGGAAAAAAATCTCTGTGGGTAGACTTCTTTACAATATCTCTATGAACATTTGAAAAAATAGTGAATGAAGTAAATGCAAACTTGCTTGTGTAGAAACCTCAGTGAGCCTGCACTAAATTTACACTAAATATGCCCTTATTTTTAGAGAAACTTCCCCGCTAAAGTTTTCCAAAAAGTGATACCTTGATATTCAATTCTCAATTTACATGGCAGATTCTCAGAAAGAGCTTCATTTACTCTTCAGACTAAACTAGGCTTTCCAGAGTGACTTTATCTCATATTACACTTCAGTTTTCTAACAAATACTACTTTTTATTGTTTAATTACTTTTTTCATCTCAATGAAAGACAACATCCTCTTCTCAACTTATCCCCAACATGAGGATGGCATCTACCACTTAGATGCCTTTCAATAGCATTTTATTGATTAACTAAATGAATAAAAGAATTAACCACAAAATGGGTTTCTAAGGATAATTTTTAAAGATCTTTAGTCACATAAAAGATTTAAGTTACATCACAACTGTCAAATAGGTTGATTTGTATGTGCATATGCCATGCTTATTTGTATGCATGCTCTACTTTGCTCTTATAAAATTATCATCCTATTATTTCTTATATTATTAATCAATTTATTCTCTTCAAAATCACTGAGTTCATTTAAGCTCCTCAAGTGAATTTCTGGGAGTTCTTTGTTCAGTCACTGTGCATTACTTTACTTATAACTTTCTCAGAGATGAATCCCAGACCCTCTGTTTTTCCTCTTAACAATTCCATAAAATTTCTTCATCACATTCTCCTTTAGGGACTAATCACTTATACCTGGAAGCATTAGTAGCATTAATTCCCTAAGGACACGTCTCTATGTCAGCCAAAACTTTTTTGTGGATCACATTTCAAGGAGTATTGTGTGATTAATAAAAACTTGATTCCTATCAGAAAACATAGCTTTATATTCCAGAAATGTAAATTATATTCTCATTCTTTACTTTTAATCAGAACAACATTCATTTATCCATTCCTATATTTTGATATAGATATTGTTTGTGTGGAGAATGTTTTCCATTAATACATTAGAAATCCTGCAGAACTTTGTGAATTATAGATAGTAATAGCAAAAACTAAACACTTAAATTAAGAGTAAATAGCATTTAAGTCTTTAGAAGTGGACAAGAGAGAAGGTAGGGTGGTCATTTTTTCTCCTTCTCTTTTTTTTTTTTTTTTTTTTTTTCTTTTTGAGACAGGGTCTCACTCTTTCATCCAGGCTGCAGTGCAGTGGCGCTACCGCGGCTCATTGCAACCTCCACCTCCTGGTCTCAAGCCATCCTCCCACTTCATCCTCCCAATTAGCTGGGATTACAAGCTCAAGCCACCAAGCCTGGCTAATTTTTAAATTTTCAGTAGATATAGGGTTTCGCCACATTGCCCAGGGTGGTCTCAAACTCCTGACCTCAAGGGATCCACCCACCTCAACCTCCCAAAGTGCTGGGATTACAGGCATGAGCCACTGCTCTGCCTTTTTCCCCTTTTTTAACCTGAAAGTATCTTTGCCAATTCTGTAATTTCTTCAGGTATCAAAAATCATCTTCCCAATAAGACACAGCAGTATATAACCTACTATATATTTTACTTATTTATTTTATTTATATTCAATAAGCCCAATTTGAATGTAAAAGATTTTTATATAACATAATATCAATAAATAATTTCTTATGTACTTGTCTATATTTCCAGGCCTATATTTTATAGACTGCTGTATCCCCAGTGCCTGTAGCATTTTTATGCATATAATACGTGCTTAGTAAATATTTATGGGACTATAAATATGAAAAGGTACTAAAGTAATCCTCTCAAATAAATGAGGGTGCACTTGTGCAATTGGTCATATTAACATCCTATTAAATGAAAAAGATAATGTAAACATAAATATTAAAAAGGTTGGCTTCGCATTTTTATTCAAAATAATAAACTAAATTTAGTTGTGTTTCAGATGTGTTATACATAGTTATTCTACCAGCTGGGTCTAAGCACTTGTGGAAAAAAATCTATCCAAAAACCATGTTTTAAAGACCTCAATATACGAATTTGAAATAGATACTTCCTCATCCTGAATATTTTCTATTACTCTTAATTAAATAGTACCTTAATAATATGACCCCAGAAGTTGCATATTCAGAAAAATTTAGAGAAAAGAGATAATGTAGAAAATTGTAATTTTTGTACTGATCTTGCATTCATATTAAAAAAAAGGATTTCCTGCTACATATCACAAATACATAAAAGAAACATACCAAAAAAAAGCAAAAACCAAAAACCCCTTTAAAGAGCCAGACAGTTGTTATCAAAGTCATATATTAAATCTCATGCACATTATAAGAAGTCACATTCTTTATACATATACACACTTTTAAAAATTGTACTAAATTCACACAAATTTGGATATTTGTGTTCCCTATTGATTGGAAGCACCATCTAGAAAGGGGAGAATGCTGATATTAATCATCTTATTCACTGCAGGTTTTAGGATAAATTGAAAGACAGTCAGAAAATTATAAGGAGAAACTGAAAAGAACACAGGTAAACATTCAAACACCTTAGCAATATATGGAGAAGACATCTAGACACTTGCCTAGCTGCTTAATGCATCACTGTATTTTCACTTATACCTCAGTAATAATGATTAAATTATTAGGAAAATTATAATCATGTTGGTTTCATTTTATGTAGTCATGGAGATGTATAGTATAATTTGATGACGTGTTAAGTAAAATGTTCTTCATTCAAAAGTATAATTTTAAGTTTTATTTTTATCATTCAATTGTAGCATTCCAAGTATAATGGAGAAAATAGGTGCTATACTACTTTTGTAGGAGTAAAGTTATTGAAGCTTTTGTTAACCAAAAGAGAACTTTCAGAAGTAAACGTACTCAGTCTACTTAAACCTGAGGTTTAAGTAGACTCACGTATTTTTACATTTTTTATAACTTAAGAATGATTTAACATATACAAATAGGATCGACGTAAATATTCAAAAAACAACGCCAAGTAGTTTAAATTCACTTATTTCAATAATAGTCTATCTCAAAAGATACTGTACTACAACTTGAATTTTCTGATTTTAAACATGACCAAAATAAATATCTCAGTGCATATTTCTACAGACTTTTATTCAGTACCTCCAGAATCAAGAAAGTATGTAATACATGGGCCTCCATTGTCAGAACTTCTAAATTTATCTTCTTTCTCACTTTTTACAAACAGTACAGTGTACTTTTTGAGACTAATAGGCTTTAAATGTTTCCAAAAAGATGTAGTAAAGAAAGCAATTCAACAAACAATTTATTAATAATCTAAAGCTTATTCCAAGGGTTTATCCCAAATAATATTTTTATATATCAATGTTTAAGTACTGTTTTTATATATCATGTATAATGTGTACCAATTATAAAAATTCAATAAAATAAAAAATATATTCTGTAGATCATATTTCTTTGGGCTGCCTAGGCAAATAATTTTAATTTGAGTCATTGAAATATGCGTTAGCCAAATTGCTATATTTAATGCTTAACCCATATATATGAAGGAAAACTGACTTCTATATTTATTTATAATACCTCCTAGCATTATATACATTTGTTGTTGTTAATCCCAGATTGCATCAAGCTACATATAGGATTGAAGATTTGTTTCAGAACAGTAGTACAGAAAATTATTTGCATCTCCAATATTAAATATCTAATCATGAGCATACTAGGAATCATATTGCATGCTTAATGTACAAAACTTTGTATGTAAGTACAATTGTACTAAATTCAATAATTGGATTATCCGCCTTTTTTCTCCCCCACACAGTGTTCTTGTAGTGTGTATATTCATAATATATAACAATATTAGATTAAAATTTCATGTGACAACTACGGCTTTTCTATTTCTCTTAGAAGATATGGCATGATACACTACTCATCCAACAGTATTGTATGGTGCTTAAGAAAAGTGATCATCTTTTTACTTTTTATGTTAGATATAATTTTACCTTGGGTTATTTTACTGTAAGTAGCATATTAAATTTTTTTCAATCCAATTACAGTCATTATTTTTAGTGCTTAAAATATTTACATTTATACAATTAACTACATTTTTGGGTTTTCTGCAGTCACCTTGTTTCAAGCTCTCTATTTTTATCATTTTCATTCATATTTAGACTTTCTATATGTCTATTTTTATACATTATAGATAATTTTAAGATATTATATGATCATTTTAATTTCCATTAGTTGAAATTACCTATAGGGTTTGCTATAAAAGTGTAAACTTATTATTTCTTGTTCCAACTTTCAAACGCTAAATAAAATTAAAGGTATAAACGATCATAAAAATATTTCAATAAATTTAAATTTTGACTCCCCACTGGAGGAAAAAAACACACATACTAACACAAAATATCTTGAATATAGAAGACCATTCACTCATATACACAGAGAACTTACTGCCCCGTACTAGGAGTTGCTACTGGATTATTTTCTCCCCAGGTAGTTTTAGAGAAGATGGATTTGCATAAGGGAATGATTGCAAAAAGTAAAATGATTGTCTTTATATAAAAGTGAGTCACATCAAATGAACAAATATTCATGTTATATTAAAGACTTGCACTGTTTCTCTCTCCTAGTATTTTTTAGGTCTAAGCAAGACACACTTTTGCTATGGATAGGGAGTGAGCTCATAACATCCTGACGATGTATATATTCATCTTCAGCCAAAGTTCATGTGGCCACAGCTTTATGCCTGCAGAGCCTGATTAATGGGCATTAAGATGTTGGTTTTAGAAACACATTTATCACACTTATTTTTAACATCAAAGATAGCTGTTAAGTTTTGCTTCTCTGAATGTGGCTGGCATTTCATCACTTCATACTCATTTGGTCTCAGAAACTCAAATCCTGCCAACTCTAGTGTTATATGCATATCTAAAGTAGAAAATAATTTTTCCAGCTTTATCTTTTGTAGTAGTTTCATCAAACAGATACCAAAAGCCTACAGAGCATTAGTCAGGGACAGGGTGATTAGTTTCTCTCTTTATGGATGGGTAATTAATATAAAAAGGATGGAAAAAATCCTTAATCCCATTACACTTGATCCATCATTTAGCAATGCTTTTTGACTCTTCAAGGTAAAATCTGCATCTGAATTTCCCCAAAGCAATCAAGTCTTCAGTTTTAGAAAATTATAAAACCCCAAAGCAAACTGCACATTACTGATAGAAAAAAAGTGAGGTTTCTGACATTCATCTAAAAGAATCTCATTTAATGAAACTGTTTCAAAGTTATCATTTCAAAATTATTCCCAATAGAATTGACCTATTTTTGCTTTAGTTTATACAAGCTAAGGATAAAGGCAATACCTGTTTAACAGAAAACATAAATATCAAAAGAAAGCTAGATATAAATCTATAGATAATATTTATGAGTTGGTGAGAGGGTATGGCTGCTGGAAGTGCATGTACCATTTGAAAGTGACAGCGCAGCCTATTGCATGATAAAGACAAAACCTTTCTTAGAATGCTTAAGGCAACCTTTCAAAACCCATTAAATAGACCTATCAAGATTGCACATTGGCCTGGACCACACTTTAAATGTTATTGATTTCTCCTCTTGACCATTTCCCTCTTCTAATGCTCCATGTATCAAAAGATTAGGACAGGCTGAGGCAGGAGAATGGCGTGAACCCGGGAGGCGGAGCTTGCAGTGAGCCGAGATCCCGCCACTGCACTCCAGCCTGGGCGACAGAGCGAGACTCCGTCTCAAAAAAAAAAAAAAAAAAAAAAAAAAAGATTAGGACATAACTCAGATAAACTGTGGTGTCATTTATGTAACAGTTGCTGGATGTGACGCACATTTTTTATCAGAGGCTTTTTTACTCTTGTTACTCCGCTTCTTGTAATACTTCATTATTTCATTAAACAATGATCTATTTTTTATTGTGGTAAAATATATATATAATATGAAATTTACCACTTAAACCATTTAAAGTGCACAGGTCTGTAGCACTGTGGACATTAAAACATCGCATTGTTGTCACCACCATTCATTTCCAGAACTTTTTCAGCACTTCAAACTTAAACTCTTAACTCACTAAACAATGAATGATTCCCCATTCTCTCCTCCCACCAGCCCTTGGTAACCACCTTCTTTCTGAATTTGGCTATGCTAGGAACATCGTGCAAGAGGAATATGCAACTTGTCTTTTGTTTATTTCACTTAGCATAATGTCTTCAATGTTAATTCACACTGTAGCACATGTCAGAATTTCCTTCTTTTTAAAAAACTGAATAATGTTTTGCTGTATTTATATACCACATTTTGTTTATCCATTCATCCAATGATGAACACTTAGGTTGCTTCCACCTTTTGTCTATTGGGAATAATGAGCATATAAATATCTGAGAAAGTCCTAGCTTTCACTTTTCGGGGGGTGCATGCACTGACATGTAATTGCTGGATCATATGGTAATGTTATGTTTAATTGTTTGAAATATGACGATACAACTTTCCACAGTGGCTGTACCACTGCTTTCAGTATCTCTGCATCCTTACATACACTTGTTATTTTCTGGATTGTGTTCATTTGTTATGTATTGTTTTTACAGTTGCCATCCTAATGAGTGTGAAGTATTATCTCATTGTGGTTTTGTTTTGCATTTTGCTAATGACTAGTGATATTGATCATATTTTCACTTACTTATTGTCCATTTGTATATCTTCTTCAAAAGAAATGCCTATTCAAGTCCTTTGCCCACTAAAAAAAAGTTTGCTTGTTGTATTGTTGATGTTGCTGTTATTGTCGAGTTTTAACAACAATCTCTTGTGTCTAGAATCACACAGTAAACTAAAACGTATGACACAAATGATGTACTGTTGTCCCTATTTCCTGAAACTGATGCATTATCCTCTAATAAGCCAATCTTCTATCTTCCCCTTTCCTTTTCATTACGTTTTAATGATCGGGAAAAATTTCTCCAACTCTTATGCCAATGTTAAAATTTAGCAAGCTTGAAAGAGTGAATACATTTTAAGAGTAAATTTTAATTATGATATTAAGTAAGTAGCAATTAAAAGGCAAAATAATATTAGTTGAATTTCATTTATTTGTTTTCCTTACGGTCACCCTAATCCTTAATAGGAATGCTTGAAAAGAGTGTAATTAAAATATATATATGTGTATATATATATATTTATATATACACACACATACAAGTCAGCTGAAAACATAAGAAATTTCAGCAGAAATTTTCTGGTAAGGAAAAGTCACCTCACATTAATGCGGTAGGAAATGATAAACATTCTCTCTACAAACAGTGAATCTCAATTTTCTGGGGGTTTTTCGCTAAAAAGCAAATTAAAAAACAAACAAAAGGACATAACAAACCTGACAATTTAAACTACTCTTATGTGCTTTTCGCTTTCTTACAGGGCACAACAGCTTTCCTCAAATATTTGAAATCTTATTATGTGAAAGAAGGATTAGACACCTATGTTTCTCAGGAAAGGAAAGAGCCAATGTTTAGGAATTAAAATGAGGCAACTTCCAGTTCAATTGAATGATGAACTTTCTAATCCTGAGAGCTGCCCAACAATGAGATGGGGTGCGCTGGAACAGAGTGAGCCCACTGTGCATTTTCAAAGATAAACAAGAGAATCAGAAGTCAGGAGCATCACAAAAAGGTGTGTGTATGTGTGTGGTATGTGTGTGTGAGGTTAGAATAGATTACCTCCTGAGTCCCTTAAAATTCCTGTTTCTCTGATTCTAAGAGCTCTCCTAAATATTGTGTGGAATATAAAAAGACAAAGCTTGTACCCTGAGAAGTGAATTTATCTATAGATTTAGACATAAACAAAATATGACCAACAGAAACACAACTAAGACACGTAGGTATGGATACTACATACAGAAGAATTGGGCATTATTTGGAAAGAAATCATTTTTAAGAACAGATTTTGCCTGTCGCTATAGCTTAAAACTTGAATTGTTCATATTACTGCAGGGTTCGATTGCATCATTCTCTCATGCTTCAATGGATTTTCTTTAAATAAAATAAAGGTCTTTACCTTTCAAAATGTCTTCCTGTCATCTTTATATTTGTGGGCAGCCAAATATACTTGTATACGTGTATAGGATTGTCCAGAAATTTATCAAATTGTCACTCACTCATAAGAACATAATGACTTCACATCCTAATGATGTTAGAGACATTATATTTAGTCAAGAAAAAACTTGAGAAATTTTAGCAGAAACATTGAATTAAATGAGTTAGTAATGCTTATAGTGAAACAAAAAGTTTCAAAATAGAAAATATCCCCTATTGTTACATGAGATAGAAGTTAGAAATATTTATAATTTACAGTCACATGAAAATCATTATTTTGAAGAGTTTAAAACTGATTTATAGAAGTCTTAGAAAGCCTCTACATAAGTGGTAAAGTAGTAATTGTCTCCTCCGTATCTCACATTTATACTGAAATTGTCAATCCTTATCTATATACCCATATCTATCTATATTTATATGTAAAAATAGTTACTAGACAAAAAATTAGCCAGGCATGGTGGCGGGCACCTGTAGTCCCAGCTACTTGGTAGGCTGAGGCAGGAGAATGGCATGAACCCAGGAGGCGGAGCTTGCAGTGAGCTGAGATTGCACCATCGCAACCCAGCCTGGGCGACAGAGCAAGACTCCATCTCAGAAAAAAAAAAAAAGGTATTAGATATTTCAGAAATTGGGAAACATATATATATATGTTTATGTATTATATTATATAATATATTATATATTATTACATATATTATATATAATATATAATTGCATATATTATACATAATATATAACATTATCACATATATTTTTATATATAATATATATATTATATATAATCTGCATAGTTCAGACCTCTCAAGCTCAACTTTCACCATATGCGCAGAGCCACCAATTACAACAGCCTTACAGCATCTTCCAACAGCAGCAGCCATAGATCAGACCATCACTTAAATCTCCCTATTAAAACCTTCAATGTCTACCCATTGCTTAGAGAAAACAATTCAAACTTCTTAACCTGGCCTTCAAAGACTCTCACAAGTTAGTTCCTGAATATCACCACCATTCTTGCACATCCTACGCTTGTCAGGTTCTAAGCCTTTGCTCACATTGTTGCCCTAGCTAGAGGAGGAAGCATTTAGATAAATTGTAGTGACCTCACCACCTGAAAGTAATTACTACTCTTGAAATTCTACAAATAATATGCATTTGATTAGAATAATAATTTTTATAATGCTTTTGCCACTAAGCATGTCATCTCTTAAGGGGGATATTTATCTTTCATTTGTTTTTGTGTCCCCGAATTGCTTTCATATTACTTTGCTAATAAGTGATCAAAAATATGTATTGAATTGAACTCTCTTTTTTACAATTGAACAAACAAAAGTGAAGATGGCTAGAATGACTTGCAGAAGCTTAGGCTGGGCAGTATCAGGTGGTTCCAAGAATAGAAACTGGGGCTCACCCATGACTGCCATCTGGTGATCTTACCATTAGAGAATATTCATCCCCAGGTAACCTAATTTTTTTTGACAGTAGGCAATGCTCTGCAACTTTAGTACAAGAATAATAACTTAATGGCACAGTAATGTGAGACTAATTTATTAGGATAATGCATTTAACTTTAGTTTTAATTTCTATAAATTGCACAAGAAAGTAAAAGATATCTATTGTTAGCTTAAAATTCAAGTTTATTATGCCATATCAGCTGTAATTATATAGTCTTTTTGCAGTGTAAATTCAATCTATGCGATGTTAGAAGCACAAAAATAAGTTTGGTACAGTATATAATGTATATAAGCAACAGCTTCTTGAGAGTCTGCATCACACCATGAGGTTTCCCTATGTAAATTGTTTTATTTGAAATCATATTTCATTGATTAGGTAAGTTATTCATATTTATATTGTTAAATTTTGGCTAAAATGAGAAAAACATGCAACTGTACATACAAAATTATTTAATTTTCAATCTATTGATGAGAACAGCTACTGATAGGGGGTTGCCAAAGAACAAATAAGAACAAAATATAGACAATTAACCTGAGCACGATCTCTACATTATGCCTCAGTAAGCCAGTGAGTTAAGCCTTTCTGTGTCTCACCTCTAAAATAACAGTTGTGGTGCTTGCTTCTTTCAGTGGAAAATTATAAGGAGTAATTAGTGTATATACAGCACTTTAAATGTGAAAATCTATTTTTACTGGATATATGCATAAAAATATGCATTATTCCATTCCTTAGAATAATTTGTCATTTTGTCATGCTGTAATAAATAATAAGAACTTTTAAAGATATAACACATGTAAAGAACAATGATTCTTTTGATTTAATAGAATAAAGTCAAAAGTTGGTACATTTCAATGATATGGGCTGGTTTATTTTTACCACCTTATAGTGGATATTGAAGTCCAGAAATCTAGAGTGTAACTCACCTAATATTTCTATACAGACATAAGCAAACTCTTCAATGAATACCATACACGATGACATAATTCTGTTTGAAAGATAACACTTGTGAATAACTTCAGGTTATTGACTTTAGAAAAAATTAACATTTTTTTCTATATGCCTCATGTACATTTACAAAAAAAATTAAAACATTTGTTTCAGGGATCAAATCGTGTCACATAAGATTACTGCTCCATTGCTCTTTGACTTCCTTCAGTTGTAGAATTGTGACAACCTAAGGAAATTAGTTAACTGAAAAAAAGCCCCAGGCTGTTGATACTTGAGTAAAATGGTGATTGTTGTTCATCAAACAAAACAGGTTTACATATTTTGTGGTCTACCAAGCTGACACAGTATTAAAGTTCAACTCTGTTCTATATAGGAACTTAACCAAGACTCTCACAACCAAGTTATTCAAGTAAATGGGTTTAGTGAGAGCTGTCTGAGCCAAGTATTGTTTCCCTCTGAAAGTACATTTGGGTCAGCTTTGTCCAACATAAGGACAAACAAATATAAAAAGCTTCAAAGTTCAGCACTGCAGAGAAAAGCCATGAAGAATTTTATTTTTAAAATGTTAAAAACAGGCCTGCACGATGAGTCATGCTTGTAATCCTAGCACTATGGGAGATGGAGACGGAAGCTTGAGGTTGGGAGTTTGAGACCAGCCTGGTTAAAATGGGGAACCCCATCTCTACCAAAAATACGAAAATTAGCCGGGCGTGGTGGCGGGCGCCTGTAATCCTGGCTACTCAGGAGATTGAGGCAGAAGAATCGCGAAAACCTGGGAGGCGGAAGTTGCAGTGAGCTGAGATCGCGCCACTGCACTCCAGCCTGGGCAACAGAGCAAGACTCTGTCTCAAAAAAAAAAAAAAGTTAGAAAAAGATGTGACCAATCTAGCATCATATTCATTATTTAAAACACTACATTTTACCTAAAAGACATCTACTTTTCTGCGGCTCAACTTACTCTAAAGGCGCCAGAATAAATTAATCACACAATGTATTTCTAGGTAAATAAAAAATCTGACCCAGACATGGAGATGTCGAATAGATGCCAATTAAATAGCAGAGGACAGCTGAATAAAAGGTTGTAGTGTTAATTTTAAAGGAGCTGATGTGAAGCTGCTATTTCCAACAGTAGCTAGATAGTAGGGCCATATTTCTATTGAGGGTTCTTTAGTTTGTGACAATCATACCACACCATTAGCACAGGGGAAACACATATTTTGATTTCTCTGTGGCAAAGAGATAAATAATTTGCTCAACAGTTTCTGTGAATGAATAATTCTGTCACAAAAAGTTTTCACATTAAAATAGTGGTATCATGGTCTGTGGTTTGATGAGCTGTTTTCTCAGTATACTGAAAATCATTGAAAATCATTATATGTTTTTAGTAATCTTATTTTTAAATTCTGTTGGTGATTTTTATTTTAAAAATATGAATACTGAGGCATTCTCGCTCTGTCGCCATGCTGGAGTGTAGTGGCTCCACCTCGCTCACTGCAACCTTCGTCTCCAGGGTACAAGCAATTCTCCTGCCTCAGCCTCCTGGGTAGCTGGGATTACAGGAGTGTGCCACCACACCCCGCAGATTTTTGTACTTTTAGTAGAGATAGGATTTCACCATGTTGGCCAGGCTCATCTGCAACTCCTGACCTCAGGTTATCCACCTGCTTCAGCCTCCCAGAATGCTGGGATTACAGATGGGAGCCACCACACCCATACAAGAAGTGGCTTACTTCTTAAGTAATTTTTTATTGGCTGCATAAAAATTATTTTACAGATAATACATTTAATTTACTAGAAGGATTAAACTGAGAAGAGGACTCTTAATAAAACACAATCATGTAAATAACCATAGGTATATGGACTCAAGTTTGAAAGAAACAAAACTAAGTAGAATAAAACTTTACTAAATATTGGTCAGGCGCAGTGGCTCATGCCTGTAATCCCAGCACTTTGGAAGGCCAAGGTGAGTGGATCACTTGAGTTCAAGAGTTCGACACTAGACTTGCCAACCTGGTGGAACTGGAACCCTGTCTCTACTAAAAAAACAAAAACAAAACAAAACAAAACAAAACAGAACAAAACAAAACTAGCTGGGCTTGGTGGTGGGCGCCTGTAACCCCAGATACTCCTGAGGCTGAGGCAGAAGAATCCCTGGAACCCAGGAGGTGGAGATTGCAGTGAGCAGAGATCACACCATTGCACTGTGCCTGGGCAACAAGAGTGAAACTCCATCCCAAATAAATAAATAAATAAATAAATAAATCTTTACTAAATATTAATAAAGAAATTCAAAAACAATTGTATTTGTCCACTATTCAAATATATATTAAATGCCTGATTCATGCCAAAAAATAGACAAATATGAACTTTGTCTTTCTGTAGCTAATATTCCACTAAGAAATGCAATAAAATGATAACTATGATGATTTTCACAGAAGAAATCCAGGTTGCATTGGAAATGAATGTGAGATATGTCTATTAAGTTTTATTTCAGAATCAATATTAGATAGTGAAGGAAGTATATATTGGCTTGGGTGAAAGTATCACCATGGCAAATTACAGATTAGATAAAATTAAGGCAAAAGACACTGTTTTAAAGAATACCAAATATAATCAGTATGAACATGTCTTGACTAATACAATAAAAATGTATTTTTAATGTCTGAATTATGTTTCTTGAAATATTATATAAATGGTGACAAACCAGATAAACTAAGTGTTAAATAATTATAACAAATATTTACTGGAATACCACACAGGTATTATCAATAATGTTGTGAACATTGACAACATGGTCAATTATGTACATTATGTTTTCACAAAACTAAAGCTATAAAGTTTACGGTTAAGGGGCCGGGCATGGTAGCTCATGCCTGTAATCACAGCACTTTGGGAGGCCAAGGTGGGCAGATCACTTGAAGTCAGGAGTTTGAGAGCAGCCTGGCCAACATGGTGAAACCCCATCTCTGCTAACAGCACAAAATGAGCTAGGCATGGCTGTGAGTGCCTGTAATCCCAGTTACTTGGGAGGCTGAGGCAAGAGAATCACTGGAATCCGGGAGGTGGAGGTTGCAAAGAGCCCAGATCGAGCCACTGCACTCTAGCGTGGGAAACAGAGGGAGACTCCACCTCAAATAAATAAATAAATAAATAAGTTTATGGTTAGCATTATCACTTTCTATGTAATAATAGGTACCACTTGAGCTTAGTCCCTTTCACTGTTTAGGCCCGAAGCTCTAGGATGCAGGGAGTCTAACAGTTATTTGGGGCAATGTGGAGAGATATATATGTATATACATATATATACACACCCAACATATGAAGAAAGCCCAAGGAATGTGTAGTTAATGAGTGAATGTGTTTTGGATAGTATGACTGCAGATAATTTTATGCATTCTCTCTGATTTACTTTTTACTTTTTGCATACCTTGCAATTAGCATATGCTACTTATATGATAAGGAAGTTTTTTTGAAAGAAAGGTATTGAATAGTACTGAACGCAAACTAAAATTTGGAAATGGATTAAAAGTGGTTTAATTGTTAAATAAAATCAATGGAGAAAGTATAACACACTGGTTAAGGGTATTCATTTTAGATTAAGCTAATTTGGGTTTGAATTCAGTTCTTCACACCTCCTAGTTTATAAGGAAGACAGCTCTCCATGCAAAGCTCTTGTAAACTTGAAATGAAAGATTCCTTACAAAGTATTTGGCACTCACAGTTGCTTTCAAATGTTTCCTGCTTTTATTATTACCATAAAATATCATATTAATAAAATTAGGGATCTATAAATTATTGGTTTTATATTTTATATCCATTTTATTATGTATTTCTCTTTAAAAATATAAAAAGCAGTACAAATATAATCATCTTTGTTGATATATAATAAAATATTTCTTAACTGCTAAATGGAATTAAGAGCTGAGCATATTAACTCAAATTTCTATGGGATTTTTCCACTTACTGCATGATAGGAGGAGCGAAAACCATTTAAATCTCCTTCAAACCCTTTCTGCAGGAGTCACCTTTTGATACTGGAATCTTTTGAAAGTACATATTCCTTAAAATAAGAAACTGAAATATTCATCTGAAATGAAAGTTAATTCACAGTCCCAAATATATTGACAAAGGCTTTAGGAAAAAAAATATTTTTTATCATGCAATCTCTATTTCTTAGGACAAACAAGAACTAAGGCATATGCCTTAACAGCAGTAAAATATGCTTTTGAATATTTTGTTGCTAGTTATTTTTTCTTGGTTGAACATTTGTTTTCAGATGATCACATACATAAATGTATTTTAATTTTATCATATACAATACAAATAAATTGAGTCCTCTTACAGGAAAAAATGATAACAAAATCCCTTGGCATGATTAATATTTTCATCATCCGAGTATTTAAAATGACATTCTCCAGTATTCTTACCTCCCTATTGATGAGAAAGCATATATTTTCTAAAAACAGTATTTAAACTTACTGATATAAGCAGAGAAAAAGAGGATCTCCCGATCTGGCAACGGTAGGCAAACATTTGGAATTTAGAAGAATTTAAGCTTTCTAAATAGTCTTTTAATACTTTCTCCAAATCAAATTTTATATGCATTAATTATAATTATTGTCTTTATATTTTCCAGAAGATGTTAGTTCTTCCTTAGCTATATTATACTTCAGAAATTTTTGATGCAATAGAAATATGTATTTCATTGTTTATGAAGCTTCAAATGGTAAGGTGTTTCTTATTGTTCATGTAAATCTGAATAGGATAATTATGTCTGAATATTTTTTATTCTAGAATCTTGATTCTCATATATCATGCTTTCTAAAATCTCATTATAAAATAATCAAATTTCCATGTTATATCCAAATTTTCAGATACATATTTTAATAAGCAATCCACAGATTAATATATATCATGCCACACTGAATTAAAGGTTCAAAAATATTATAGCACATGAGATAGTGCGGATGACGGATGTTTAAAATCTTCTAAAGATTAGCACATTCCATATATATTGCTTTTCTACACAATTTTGCAAAAATAGACTACATATGACAAAGTGGATCTGTACAGTTATCAGGACTACAGATTTTATTTCTAGCTTTATAAATGTCATTATGATCTTGAGCCTGTATTTTAAACTTCCTGTGCTTTAAAGAACTACATGTTGGGTTAATAGAATTTACTTGACAAAACTGTTGGGAAAAAAAATTATAAAGTGGCTTTATAGAATGATACTAGATAGATTTAAGATGCAATCTATCAGAACTTAATTTTCTTTATTTTATAATATAGCTACATCACTATACCTCATATGCCAAAATGCCCCAAGACAGTTGATACAAATCCACTGAGAATATTAGATTCAGAGAACTATAATTACTGGTTAGTAATTCAATTTTCCTAAGAGGCAAATACTGTATCACTTACTTTCTGAGAAAAATAGTTATCAATTTTAAATGAAACTTGGACATTCTATAGACTGTTGCCCACATTTGTTTTTAAGTTGCAACTTCTTCAGTATATATAAACTCTGTGTCTTCAGGGATATTTATCACACACTCATCAGATTTATTCATTTCCTAAGACATACCAAAGCAAAGGGATCCTCTACTATTTCCATTTCTTTTAACTATCAAAAGTGTAAGTCACTATGAAAAAACACATATTAAAAATGTAAACCCTTAAGCACATATTACATCAATATGAAAAAGCATTTATTTCCTTCTTGTACATTTTTTAAGTGAAGCCTAAAGTGGAATAACATTAGGAGCAATTTTTAAAATAGCTTGGGACCTTTTTTAAGTGCGTTCTTAAGTTCTTAAAATTGTCTTAGACCATTAATTTAAGTATTACTCTTTAAAGATTTGTGAATATATTTAGCTTTATCTATACAATAAGGTTAATTTTGCTTTCTAAGCTTTGCGGAAGTAATATCGTCTCACAGAGAGATGGAGAATATTAACATCTGTTCTTCCTCATCCATTTTTCTTACACGCAGAAGTAAATGTAATTCAAGAGATTTGATTATATGAGTTAGCCATAAATTTATGAAATTGGTGACATAGCTTATTACAGTCATGATTAATTATATTTAATACCAAAAATTAACTTAAAATCCCATTATACTGGGGCCCTTGATCATGTAGCTATTGACTTTTAAATTTCGGAGTACTTTTAAACATTTTCCATTCAATGTGATACTCCTGACCAACGTGAAACACACACACACACACACATATGTACACACATACACTTTCTATATATATTTAAGAATACCTTTAATATTCAAATAATTTCTTGATTGTTCTATATAAACTGTTTTGTTAAAAAAACTCACATGCTCTTATCAAGCTTGAAAGCACGATTTTAATTTAAAAGTGGAAATAAATAAATTTGAATTTACTCTTCTACAAAAATAATAATGTATAAATAGCATCATGTTTAAGCATGTGAAAGACAAACTCCAAATAAGGGCAACTCCTAATGTGTCTATTCAATTGGGGCACATTCTCTCATTCTAAAAGAAACACAGCAATTGCAGAGATTTGCCTATACAAATCAAGACATGCCTGATTGCATTCTGAGCAAGTCTCAGGAGATGTCTGCCTAACACATTCTCTGTTAGGAATTGGAGGAAACATTGCCTTTAAATACTGAAATTCAAAGAACTCAGGTCTTCCCGTGACAGATTGCTGTTTAGATGTTTGTAATTTTGAAAATAGAGCAATACCTTACAGTTGATTGAGGGCAAGGGATAGGGTTAAAAATCGGCCTAAATAGGAGCAAAGATTTAACCACACATCTTTCACAATTCTCTTTAAGGCCTCTCAGAGGCAGAAAATATGGATTATAGCTTGGTAGTGTCTGTAAGTTCATTTTCTTAAAATCTTTGAATAAGACAATCTCAGGACGTAACTAAACACTTTATTATACTTGCCAGTATCTGTGAGTTATCTGTTTTATTCTGTTTAATCATAACCCAGCTCACCTTCACATAGTCATCTCAATATTACACATGAAAAGTATATAAAAATAAGAAAGATAGCAAGAAAAATCCAAAGGCAAAATGAATTTTGTTCTTCTTCATTTCACAGCAGCAATTTGTTCAAAGATAATACATGTAGTTACTGGTATTCATTTTAAGCACTGTAGTTGATACCAAAGTTTTCAAAAACATATAAAGTCATTTC
This sequence comes from Homo sapiens, assembly GCF_000001405.40. NCBI lineage: Eukaryota > Metazoa > Chordata > Mammalia > Primates > Hominidae > Homo > Homo sapiens. The sequence goes on along the minus strand of NC_000003.12, from coordinate 85,164,012 downwards.
TATTCTGGACATTTAAAAATATATAGAAACAGAAAGTAGACAAATAATTGCCTGGGGGGAATGAGTAGTGGGAGAGTACAGGGTGTATGAAATGAGGAATTACTACTAATGGTTCTGAAGTTTCCTGAGTGATTAAAATGTTCTAAAATTGATTGTATTGGTGTTGCATAACTCTGAACATGCTAAAAACCATATGGATTGTACACTTTAATTGGGTAAATAGTATGATATGTGAATTACATCTCAATCAAGGTTTTTTAATATGACTTCTATGCTAGCATGTGAATACAGATTGCCATAAAATCTAAATGAAATAGTTAACTGTGAAAAGATAAATGAGTAAGAACTGTCATAGTCTTTATGTTTTAACACAAGCTGTTCTAATTTTGAGATGAGGGTATGTGGATGGTATATATGTATTTTTGTATCTTAAATACATGCAGATTAATTGTCTGAGGGCGTAAAATCCTGAGGGTCGATTTTGTTTTCCAAATAAATGACAAATTATATAGTATCGGTGTGTCCTCAGCCTAATGGCTTCTGATATACCAATTTTTCGTTATTATGGCTGAGATATACTACTCATTTTCAGTGAATTCTTTCCTGCTTCAGTATCCCAGTTCACGATGTTTCTGATGCCCAAGAAGCTTTTTATCGCCTGCCCCATATTGCTTTAGAAACTTTTTACCAAATTTTAAAGGTCTGCCTCAAACATTATCCGGCAAATACCTATTTGCTCAGTCATGAATCTCAACAAATAACCTGCTAGTAGGCTTGTAATACATTCAGTCTACATGGACTAGAGGTTTTCAAACTCACAGAAATGCAAACATGTATTATTGTTTTTGTTAATGATAGGGTCACATTAATCATAAATTTCATACTGTTATAATTGAATATGACATGTAATAACATGACTGTGTTGCATAAAGAATGATGAGTCAGCATTACATATAACTATTTCAAATTTACATGTTAAGTTTGAGACTGAGGTTACTTGAATTTCCATTTGTTTATCAGGTAGATGATCATCAAATTGTATTCTTTCAATAGTCATATATATATATATGTCTATTTTCTTCAAAATATGTCTATCTCCATATACATACTAATTACTGTCATTTAATAGTGTTGTGGTAATATTTACAATTACAAATGTATTATTGCCAAGGATGCTGTCAAAACATAGGGTTTATATAAGAATAAATTCTTGATAATGTTGTAGAAAATATTTCTGTTGTGTAATTAAAATCTATAGGCAAAAGTTAAAATTCCAAGATTAAATTCCATGTAAGACCATAACATATAAGCTTCAAAAATATTACTATTTAAAAATACTATGTTAATAACAGTGTATAGATGTCATTGAAATTCTGAGTGATCTGTGTACAAGCCTTTTTGTATAAACTCTAGAAACACAAACCTCAACCATATATTATTTTTTTTAATGGTAGACATCTTTCAGCTGACTTCCATTAAACTTTTGAAACTTGAAAAATGGTATTTTTGGTTTGTGTCCATTGCTTCCAGAATTTTTATATTAAAAGGTAAATCAGGGAGAATAATTAGAAGTGTAAACCTATCCAAACCTACCAAAAATTTTTTGACATGCTTGTTGATATAAAAAGCCATTATTTATTGCATAATGATCAGGAACAATTGGTAAGCACGCTACATAAATCCCGGTAATTAGTATTATTTTCCTAACTCAAGTGTTATGGCATATATATTTTTTCTGTGGTAGCATTTTTTGGATCACATATTTACTTGTCTCTTCTTTATAATGAGACAGATTTTAACATGCACTAAAAAATTAAACTGTAAAAACCCATCCACACCCTCGAATGTAAGCAGGAATTTCCCTGTTAACTGCTAAATGCCTAGCAGTTAGATATTTCTGGTTTATATAATGAACCCAATCAATATCTGGGCAACCAATCACTGACGGTTAAAAGACAAAGGTACTTGTTTTTTCTTTCTTTCTTTCTTTTTGTTTTTCCTTTTAAATGGAGTCTTGCTCTTGTTGCGGAGTCTGGAGTGTAGTCATGTGATCTCAGCTCACTGCAACCTCCCCATCCCTGGATTCTGCTGCCTCAGCCTCCCGAGTAGGTGGGATTATAGGCGACTGCCACCATACCCGGCTAATTTTTGTTTCCTTAGTAGAGATGGGTTTCACCATGTTGGCCAGACTAGTATCAAACTCCTGACCTCAAGTGATCCGCCCACCTCGGCCTCCCAAAGTGCTGTGATTACAGGCATGAGTCACCGCACCCAGCCTTGAAATTTCTATTGTATTTTACTCAACATTCTGAGTAATACACACCTATCCACCTTCCTATCTATGTCAACATATGATTCATATTTTCTCACGTCTTCTCTTTCAGCAGATAAATACATCCCATTCCCAGGTTCCTGCACTCATTCATTTTTTTTTATACATTAAATTCCAAATTGTTGACAGTACATTCTGTGACATTCACCTAGGTTTTAGTAGGCC